>NC_000014.9:71278379-71429894 GCF_000001405.40 Homo sapiens
AGGCAGGTGGATCTCTTCAGGTCAGAGAGTTTGAGACTAGCCTGGCCAACATGGTGAAACTCCATCTCTATAAACAAACAAAAAAAAATTAGCCAGGCTTGGTGGTGGGTGCCTGTAGTCCCAGTTACTCGGGAGGCTGAGGCAGGAGAATCGCTTGAACCTGGGAGGCGAAGGTTGCAGTGATCCGAGATCATGCCACTGCACTCCAGCCTGGAAGACAGAACGAAGACTCCGTCTCAAAAAAAAAAAAAAAAAGATCAGGCTTGAGTATGTGCATGTGGTGATGGTGGTGGGGTCGGGGCAGGAGGGATGGAATTCGCATGCCTGAGAAAGGGAGAAGAAAAGAGAGGAAGGAGGTAAAGAGGAAAGGAAGGAGGGAAGGCAGCCGATTCCTAACATGCCATGAGGAATGCCGTCTCATTGTTAGGATAGAACCGGGCCCACGTCCCACCATAGTAGCTGACCAACTAGTTCATGGGCCATCTCTCCTTCACCCTGTCTTCAGTTCTGCCATGACTTGTTGAGTCTGCTTGGAGTTCTTTAAGTTTTTCATGGCTCTGCTTCCTTACTGTAAAATGAAGTCTGTGCCCCTGTATAACATGATGATTAAGTGCGCAGGACGTAGAGCTAGCCGGGTTCTAATCCTGGCGCCTTAACGCACTAGCTTTCTGATGTGGGGCAAATTATTTAATCTTTCCTAGTCAAAGCTCTCATTCGTAAAACGGGGGAATCATGGTACCCAACTTTGAAGATTGTCATGAGGATTAAGTGAAGGTTTAAAAGTGTTTGCCACATAGTGAACATTCAGCGTTATCTACTATTATTATCCTTTTAGGAGCTAGGATGCTTTTGGCTGCAAGAAACAGAAAATAGAACTAGAAATGATTTAAATAAGTGGTTTCCAAATTTTTGTGATCACTAAAAATATTTTTTCTAGCCTGCTCTCTAATAAATGCATGTTTGAAAATTATGTCCTTAAATAATTATATTAATATTTACATATATAATAAAAATTTTTAAAGAAGAATATTTATTTATTTATTTTTGAGACGGAGTCTCATGCTGTCACCCAGGCTGGAGTGTGGTGGCACGGTCTCAGCTCACTGCAACCTCCACCTCTCGGGTTCAAGCAATTATCCTGCCTCAGCCTCCCAAGTAGCTGGGACTACAGGCATGTGCCATCACACCCGGCTAATTTTTGTATTTTTATTAGAGACAGGGTTTTGCCATGTTGGCCAGGCTGGTCTTGAACTCCTGACCTCAAGTGATCCACCTGCCTTGCCTCCCAAAGTGCTGGGATTATAGGTGTGAGCCACTGCACCCGGCCCCTAGTAGGGGTTTTTAACCTGCCAGCTATAGTGACAGAGGCCAGCGTGCTCATTTCTTCTTTCCATAGAAATACCACTTTCCTTGGACACAGTACATCATACTCAGTTCCCGTGGCCCTAGTTCACCATGCCCTCTGGGAGGGACACACCTATCATGCTGATGGACTCTGGGATCTACTCTCTGCCCTGTGATCAGCCCCTGCCATTTCATAACATCCAGAGTTTCTGCTTTATTCATGAGACATATAGCATTTTCCTATTAAACCAACTAGCTTTTTTCCCTCCTCTTTCCTTTGTTTTCCATTCACATTTTCCAGACCTTGTCCAATAAGTAAGGCCAGCTTTTTGCCATCACTTCAGGCATAGTCTTCAGAGAGACAGAGAATGGGTACTGATGCAATATGACACATGATGGAGTTTGCTATCTTCTTCTCTTGTCTCTGCAAAGTGCACATACCCTACTTAGAGTCTGTGAGTCTTCCATCTCTGACATGCTGATGGCTCCTGAAATCATTGTATGGTGACACTGCTGTGGTCCCCAAGCCTGGACTGAATAGTCAGTGCAGGGCAAAGCGTCGGCATTCACACCATTGCCAGCCTCTTTGTCATTGCCTGCACCAGCCCTTGCCACTTTTCCTGATTCATCCCCACACTGGCAAGCCTCTGAGTAGGTGTGAGTTCTGAGCCAAGCTGCATTTAGAAGGGTCTAAAAAATACAGACCCAGTGAAGGAGAGGCATGGAAGGGTCAAAGGCACCATTTCAAAGAAGGCGAATTTTGTAACATAATGCATTGGAAAGCCAAACTTGAACGTGAATCCCAATATCCTGATTCATAGCTATGTGACCTTAGGGTTCTCTAAACCTGAATTTTATCACTTGGAAAATGAAGGTTATGATACCTCCTTTTGGGTAATTGTGAAAAATAAGTAAGATAAGGTATGTTAGCAGGCCCAGCCTAATGTTTAGCATGCATTAGGCACTTAATACATGCCAGCCCCCTTTCTCTTTCCAGTCTTTAATATAAACCGATTGCCCAGGTTTCGATCAGTATAGAGTCATATTCTTTCACAGCTGGCAAATGTGATTACTTGCCTGAGAGTTATTCCATGGTCTCAGACTATAAAACGAAAGTGGCTCGAAAGAGAGGGAAAATATCAGAAATGGGAATGTGACAAAGCAGTCACTGTATTGCAACTGCCTGTTCGTTTGTCGATACCCCTCAGCTCCTTGGGAATGGAAGCCAGGTATCCCCAAGGCTTAGGCCCTGCCCCTGTTTAGCACACAGCTAAGCCTTGACAAATCTTTTCTCTTTTCTTTTTTGAGGCAGGGTCTCTGTTGCCCAGGTTGGAGTGCAGTGGTGCAATCATGGCTCACTGCAGCCTTGAACTCCTAGGCTCAAGTGATTCTTCTATTTCAGTCTTCTGAGCAGCTAGGACTACAGGCACATATCACCACGTCTGCCTAATTTTTAAAATTATTTATAAAGATGGAGTCTTGATATCTCGCCCAGGCTGGTCTCAAATTATTGGTCTCAATCCCGCTTTGGCCTCCCAAAGTTCTGGGATTGCAGGCAAGAGCCACTGTGTCCAGTCAATATTTTCTAAATGCATGAAGGAGACTGGTGAGGAAAAATGGGGGAGAAAACAAAAAAATTAAATGTGATAACACAGGCAGCATTATGAGAAACTTAGGTATAAAAACTAAACAATATTAGACAAGGAACAGAAGTAAGTCTAAAAGCCCAAAGAGAATTAGAAAAGATTAGCATACATACCTGGGGACGGGGAGGCTATGTTTAAAAACAACAAGAGAAAAGAGTAAAAGTATAAATGTGTGTGTGTGTGTGTGTGAGAGAGAGAGAGACAGAGAGAGATTAAGAGAGGGGAGTGATATTCACAACTTGGAAAAGCCACAGGAAATCTAAAACTTAGATACCTGATAGGACAAGTCCAAGCACTTTGAGAGACCAAGGCCAGAAGATTTCTTGGGCCCAGGAGTTTGAGACCAGCCTGGGTACTATAGTGAAAACCCATCTCTACAAAAAATTAAAAAATTAGCCGACTGTGATGGCACAAGCCTGTAGTCCCAGCTACTCCCAAGGTTGATGTGGGAAGGTCACTTGAGCTCAGGAGTTGAGACTGCAGTGACCCATAATCGTACCACTGCACTCCAGCCTGGGTGACAAATGAGACCCTGTCTCAAAAATAATAACAACATCAACAACATGTAGTCTGCATCTACTTATGGGACCCAAATACAGAAAACTGGTCAAAGTAAAGATGCTCTGGGTATCACAGAGGTGGCAAGGCCTCCTGCATCCTACCTCCCTCTCTTCCCCAGGATGGGGCACTGTGTTGAACCCTATTGTGGAAACCACCTGAAATGGTTTGGCTCTGTATCCCTACCTAAATCTCATCTTGAACTGTAATCCCCAAGAGTTGAGGGAGGAATCTGGTGGGAGGTGATTTGATTATGGGGGTGGTTTCACCCATGCTGTTCTCGTGATAATGAGGGAGTTCTCATGAGGTCTGATGGTTTAAAAGTGGCAGCTTCCCTTGCATGCTGTCTCTCCCCTGCCACCTTGTGAAGAAGGTCCTTGCTTCTCCTTTGCCTACTGCCATGATTGTAATTTTCCTGAGGTCTCCCCAGACAAGTAAAACTGTGAGTCAATTAAACCTCTTACCTTAATTACTCACTCTTACCTGTGAGTCGATTAAAACTCTTTACTTAATTACCCACTCTTAGCAGCGTGAGAATGGACTACTATACAACTTCTATAGGTTAGTGAGGTGGACATCTGCTGAAAAAATCACTCATTAGCTCCTATAAAGGGAAGCAGTGAACCCCAGAGACCAGCAAGCAAGGGTTCCCCAGGAGAGAGCAAGGCCAGACCAACCTTGTTTCCTTTTCTGTAGGCTGTTAATGGAATGTTACAGTAGAGTTCACTTGGATTTGAGCTACATATTTGTCACATCTTTTGTTATAACCTTGCAAACAAAATGAACGTTCTTTGATGATGCCATTAATAGATGCAAAACTGCTAAGACCATCCCCAAAGGTTGTTGGTTATAGAGTTAATGCAAACCTTGGGGGAATTTCTAAGGGCCTGCCAAGAGGCTCTTTTCTGTCAGCTCCTTTTTAGCATTTTAATCAATAATGCTAATAATAATTACTTTTTATTAAGTGCCTAACATATGCTAAGCACAGTGCTAAGCACTTTAATTCTATAAAGTAGGTATTATTTTTTATCACCACTTCATAAATGAGAAAACTGAGGCTTGGAATGAACAATTAGCTTGTTCAACATCACATAACTAATAAGTAGAGGAACCAGAACTTAAACCTACACCTGATGGACTCCAAAACTGTTACAACTAGCTAGATGAGGACGCTGGTGATGCTCTTATGACATGAAGCTATTGCCAGTGCATCAGAAAATAACATTATTATCCAAAATAGCCACAGTCCAGAATGATAGGCAGAATTTAAAATAATGAACTTAAGTGGAAAGAACAACCGAAGGTCTAAAAACAAAACAACAAACAACAAGGGAATAAAAGTAGCTACACAAATACCAGATGGGAGCGAGACAGCTTAACAACAACACATGTTAAAAAAAAAAAAAATAGGCTTAGCAGTTTTATTTACAGAATTTAATGGGTAAATGGTGAAATACGGCTGTCAAAAACATTAACATGACCTTGAGCCATATTAATGAACTTAGAGGGTCCAAAACAAAGGAAGGCCAGGAGCTGCTGGGCCCTGCTTTAATGAGACCATAGCTGCAGTGTTCTGTGCAGGAAATCGCATTTTAAGACGAATGGTGGTGAATAGAAATGATGAAGATGGAGATAGTGTGGAAAGGATCCGGAAACACCTAGCTTCAAAACGTGAAGACAGTGGAAACAGGAGAGCTATTTTCAGATATATAAGGGCCATTTCTCAAGTTGCTACTTGCAATAGGAGCATATTCTGTACTAGCTGAGAGAAGCAGCCTGTAGGGACATTCTGGCTTTGTGCGTCTTCAACATTTATGACCAAGAGGAGCCCCAGGACCTGGCTACCAAATGGAGCTTCTAATACTAATCCTCAAAATGAGTCCTTGAAGAGGTTCAGATAAAGACAAGAAGAAGAACTGGTTTCCAGATTAATATGCAAATAATAAAACCTGCCCTCTCTAAAACAAAAGAAAGACATTTTTTAAAAAAACTTACCAGTCAACATACAGTTTTCATTAGCAGCAACCAAACAAGGAGAAAAATACAATTTCTTGCCAGAAATTTTGAAAAGGCTCAAGAATAGAATCCAGTCAGCCAGGCAATGAGTGGGTAAACTGTAGTTGAAAGTGGGGGCTGGGGGGAGGGAGGAAGAAAGGAATGTAGGGGAAGAACAGAAGAAAGAGAAAGGAAACTGTCACAATGCTTGATGCTAGATGACAGCGAAAAAATATTTACCAAGTTCAGAGGGAAAGACTTGTGACTTTAGAATTTTATCCAGATTATCAGTATGAAGATTATCAGTATGAAGGCTACGGGTGGAGAGTCTCAAGCATGCAAGAATTCAGGGAATACATTACCATGCACCATTCTTGAAAAAATGCCTTGTTGATAAAATTGTAATGCAGGCAACTAGGAGATGAATCAAAATAAAGCAGTAAGAAATGGAAATTTCAGGGTAAAAGAATATGAACTTATCATTAAATCACATGAGATTTATGCTATAGAAGTGAATGCAATGCAAATATTAACACTTTAAGAAGGTAAAATTAATATGGTCAAAATTGAGTAGTATTAGGAGAAGGGTTGGGAACAAGTTATGCATGTATACTACAAAGTCCAAATATCTAAAATTGAAATGTGTTTATGAACACTCCAACCTATTATGTTTTGTCTTTTTTAAAAATAATGTTTTATGGCCAAGCGTGGTGGCTCATTCCTGTAATCCCAACACTTTGGGAGACCAAGGCAGGCGGATCACTTGCAGTCAGGAGTTCCAGACCAGCCTGGCCAACATGGTGAAACCTCATCTCTACTAAAATACAAAAATTAGCCGGGCGTGGTGGTGCGCACTTGTAATCCCAGCTACTGGGGAGGCTGAGGCAGGAGAACTGCTTTAACTCAGGGGGCAGAGGTTGCAATGAGACGATATTGTGACACTGCATTCCAGCCTGGGTGACAGAGCAAGACTCCAGCTCAAAAAAAAAAAAAAAGTTTTCTCCTTAATTGTAAGGAACTCTTAGGAAGTAATATATTTGAGTGGTAAAGATATATTTATCTAAAGTTTGGCTCTTTTCTATTTCACCTTAATTTCTTCTTTCTTTTTTAAGTAGTAGTAAATTTAATAGTTTACTAAAAATAGCATGTATCTTATGGTAGATGCAATTGATTGGATTATTTAATGTCTCTTCTATCCTTAGTCTACTGTGTTTTCCTGTGTCTGTATTTCCAGACTCCCTTGCAGCTTTTATTTCAAAGAGATTCAGTAGTCACCAGTCAGATGCACTTTTGTGAGACTAGAATTCAGCAGTTCAGTGAAGAAAAGATGATGGCAAGTGAGACATCGGTGCTAGAGCTCCAAGAGTTATGCCATGGCTCTGGAGCCCATAGTTCTGGTGGGGCTTCTTGACTCCTGGATTGAAGCTAAGGTAACCCCATGGTTCCTGGAGCCATCACTGAAGTGGTGGCTTCCTTGTGCCCAGATCACACTGAGGTGGTATATTCATTACCTATAGCTGTTGAAACAAATGACCATATATTTGGTGGCTTTAATTTATTCTCTTACAGTTCTGGAGACCAAACATCCAAACTCAGTATCCCTGGGCTGAAACTAAGGTGGCAGCCAGGCCAGGCTCCCTCCAGAGGTTCTAGGGGAAAATCCATTCCTTGCTTCTTCCATCTTCTTGTGGCTACCGGCACCCCCTGGTTTGCAGCCACAACACTCTCCCTCCATCTTCAATCACCTTCTCCTTTTCTATCAGTGTTTTTTGCTTGTTTGTTTGTTTGTTTATTTGTTTTTGGTTTTTGTTTGGGTTTTTTTTTTAGACAGTCTTGCTCTGTCGCTCAGGCTGGAGTGCAATGGCATGAGCTCGGCTCACTGCAGCCTTTGCCTCCTGGGTTCAAGCGATTCTCATGTCTCAGTCTCCTGAGTAGCTGAGATTACAGGCTCCCACCAACACATCCAGCTAATATTTGTATTTTTAGTAGAGACAGATTTCTCCATATTGGCCAGGCTGGTCTCAAACTCCTGGCCTCAAGTGATCCACCAGCCTCAGCATCCCAATGTGCTAGGATTACAGGCGTGAGCCATTGCACCCAGCCTCCTTTTCTATCAGTGTTAAACATCCCTCTGCCTCCTTTTTATAAGATACACGTGATTGCATTTAGGACCCACTCTGATAATCCAGGATAATCCTATGTCAAGATCCTCAATCACATCTGCAAAGACCTTGTTTATGTCCAAGGTAATATTCGCAGGTTCTAGGAATCAAAAAATGGGTATCTTTTGGAGGGCTGTTTTTGGCCTACCACAATGGCATAATCCTAGAGGCTGAATTTGGGACAGTAGCTTCCTGTTCCACAGATTCCTGACTGTGGCAGAGGTAGACACTGCCTGACACACCAGTTCTGCAGGTTTATTCTGGGAGTCATTTCTAAAAGCCCAAACCTGAAGCCTACTCCCCCAACCCTTCCATAATTGCATTTGTACCCAATGCCCTGCCTACTTAAACTACAAGAGTGCTTCTGTTATGTGCAACCCTGATGGATATAGACAATCTGATCACATGTTGATACAATTGTTTATATTTCTCTATATATACTGTACCTGTATATAACTGGGCTACACACCTACTATACTAATATATACAAAGAAAAAACACTGTCTTTTTCAAATTCTGTTAGAAAAATAATTTTTATCTGATGCAGAATCAAGGAAAAATAAATAAATGAATGTTCTGATATTCCTTACAAGCTCCTTCAGCCATGCGGCAATGGTTGTTTTGGTGGCTGGAATACAAGGAAAAAGGGGGCCAAATTTTATGGCAATTTGTTAAAGTTAATGGAATGAAGTCAGGAGTTCACTGAGGTAAGTTTTCGGTCCCTTGAATGTCCTCTCCTTCTCCTTGCTCCTCTCCTAGGTAGGGTCTGCCTTTATGGGGTAAGGTGGATTGTATGACATCATAGTGTCATCAGTGGGGACAGGAAGACGAGGTCCTCAAATCCATGCTGAATCCTCCCAACATCATTGAGCTCTGCTGTGAACTGGCTGCTCTAGGCAGTGTCCTAGACTGATGGCTTCTAAGATACCTGCCACTGGAGTTTATGGTCCTGGCCATTCGTCTCTACATTCAGGTTTCTGCCTGTCCACCAACCCTATCAACATCTCTGCATTCTCTGCCCCTAAACATGCAAGAGCTTCTGGGTCCTCTGAAGGCCACATACAAGCCATGGGGGGATGAGAAACACTATCTCAGGTTAAATTATCTACATATTAGTAGATAGTTCAGTTACCTGCAGATAGTTTGTTTAGTTATCTGTAGAGAGTTAATGCTGCTACATTATTATCTTGTGCCACGTTAAAGGTGGGTGAGTGCAGGGCTATGCTAAAGACTGATACCTCCTTGCAGTGTTTTGGGGGAATCCCTGGAGTTCTGAGTTCCTGCACTTCCTTTAGCTATCTGGATGCTTTAAGACTCCCTTTCCTGGCTCACACCTGTAATCCCAGCACTTGGAGAGGCTGAGGCAAGTGAATTCCTTGAGCCCAGGAGTTCAAGACGAGCCTGGGCAACATGGCAAAACCCCATCTCTACAAAAAAAAATACAAAAATTAGCTGGGTGTGGTGCTGTGCACCTAGTAGTCCCAGCTACTCAGGAGGCTGAGGCAGGAGGATCGTTTGAGCCCAGGAAGTTGAACGAGCTGTGATCACAGCACTGCATCCCAGCTGGGGAGATAGGACCCTGTGAAAGAAAAAGCAAGAAAGCAAGAAAGCAAGCAAGAAAGAAAGAAAGAAAGGAAGGAAGGAAGGAAGGAAGAAAGAAAGGAAAGAAAGAAAAAGAAAGAAAAGAAAGAAAGAAGGAAAGAAAGAAAGGAAAGAAAGAAAGAAGGAAGGAAGGGAAAGATAGAAAGAAAGGAAGGAAGGCTCTCTTTCCTAAAAAAGAAAGAAAGGAAGAGAAAGAAAGAAAGAGAGAAAGAAAGAAAGGCTCTCTTTCCTCCTTTCCTGCAACCAAGTTTGGTTCTAAGGGAGGTCAAAAACCAGAACCTTGTGTCTAAGCTCCTCAACCCATGTCTGATCCTTCCATTCCTGCAGCCAGAAGGGGCAGGTGTGGGGTTTCCATTTCATCTGTAGCACATCCTTCTTCTGACATGCTCTTCCTAGAGGAGCCAGCCTCGTGGCATGAGCCGTGCAGGAGGGAGGTCTACTCTATGCTAGAGAAGAAACTGGTCAGAGCCCTCCAGAGCTAGTCCTGATGATAAAGGGGAAGATAATATAGCTTAAGGATTCTTTTCTGAATTAAGCATGTCTGTCTTTCATGAATATTTTCTTGTTTGAAATTAAGAGGTCAAGGAAGTTAGCTGTGATCAATGTTCCCTGTTCCAAGTAGTACCTACCTATTCTTTACCAGAACAATAAGCCTCGTGACTCAGTAAGTCAACCCTAAGGGTGGAAGGCAACTGAGGAACCAATTAAGACAGAAATTAGAATGGATCAGTTTAATACTTAAAAATATTATCTGTTAACTTATATATTAAAAGATATCTGAAATGATATTAACCAAATTTTCATCATGGTTACTTTTGGATTCAGGCAATTTTGGTGTATTACTTAATTCTTTGTACTTTTGGTTGCTGCTTGAATTTTTTTAAAAAAATAAGAACTAGGCTAGCAAAAATGTCCTTAACAATTTGGTTTGAATCTTTTTTCTATGCAACTCCTTCTCCCCCCACCCCCAAATCAACAACTAGAAGGCAGGTATGGGGACTTGATCCTGTAGTCCCAGCCACTCAGGAGGCTGAGGCTGAAGGATCACTTGAGCCCAGGAATTCAAGACCAGCCAGAGCAACATAATGAGACCCCATCTCTAACTTTTTTTTTAAAAAAAGAACTAGCATAATACAAACTCTCCATGATTCTACATTCACTCATTCATTAATTTATTGGGCAACTATCTACTGTGCTCCAGGTCATCTGTTAGGTATTAAGGATTCAGAAATAAATGAATGTCATATTTGCCTTTTAGGAAACCACAATTTAGCAGAGAATACTAAGCACACAACTCTAACACATTCTGGCAAGTATGATTTGTGAACCCCAAATATCTAAGACAGGTCTCAGTCAATTTAGGAAGTTTATTTTGCCAAAGTTAAGGAGGGTGCCCATGACATAGCCTCAGGAAGTCCTGACTACATGTGTCCAAGGTGGCGGGGGTACAGCTTGGTTTTCTGCATTTTAGGAAGACATGAGATCAATATATGTAAGATGCACATCAGTTCCATCCAGAAAGGCGGGACAACTCCAAGCAGGGAGGGGGCTTCCAGGTCATAGGTAAGAGACGAACAGTTGCATTCTTTCAAGTTGCTGATTAGCCTTTCCAAGGGAGGCAACCAGATACGCATTTATCTCAGTGAGCAGAGGTGTGACTGAGTTCTCTCTGTCCTTTCTCTTCAAGGAAATTCCTTGTGAGAGAGGTATGTAGCTTTTAAAAAATCTTAGTAGCTATCTTTTTTAGGAATAGAATGGAGGGTAGGTTTGTCCTAAGCAGTTCCCAGCTTGACTTTTCCCTTTGGCTTAGTGATTTTGGGGTTCCAATATTTATTTTCCTTTCACAGATTACATGATTTTATGACTTTACCTGTCGTGAAGTATTGCCTCAATTTCACAACATACCTTTCTTAAGCATCCACATGTGAGCCAGGCCCTAGGCTAGGCCCTGCAGACAGAAACACACCAGGGCACTGGCAGGGCTCTCAAGCCAGCATGACAAACTTCCCCCAAAGACCGCAGGACAGAGTTTACGAGTTTCACCTTCCACCTCCACCCAGTTGGTCCACCTGCAGGAAGTGAAGCCGTTCTAAAAAGTCAGAAGTGACAGATTCTGTGTCATAGGACAAAGAAAATGCAGGTGACAGGATAGGCAGTTGCATAAAGCTTGGCTGGGTGTTACCAGAAAGGTGTCCCCATCCAGACCCCAAGAGAGGGTTCTTGGACCTCAGGCAAGAAAGAATTCAGAGAAAGTCCATAAAATGAAAGCAAGTTTACTAAGAAAGTAAAGAAATAGGCCAGGCGAGGTAGTTCACGCCTATAATCCCAGCACTTTGGGAGGCCGAGGCGGTTGGATCACCTGAGGTCAGGAGTTCCAGACCAGCCTGGCCAACATGGTGAAACCCCGTCTCTACTAAAAATACAACAATTAGCTGGGTGTGGTGGCATGTGCCTGTAATCCCAGCTACTCAAGAGGCTGAGGTAGGAGAATCGCTTGAACCCAGGAGGTGGAGGTTGCAGTGAGCCGAGATCGCACCACTGCACTCAGCCTGGAAGACAGAGTGAGACTCCATCTCAAAAAAAAAAAAAAAAAAAAAAGAAAAAGAAAAAGAAAAAAGAAAGAAAAAAAAGTAAAGGAATAAAAGAAAGGCTACTCCACAGGCAGAGCAGCAGCATGGGCTGTTCAACGGAGTATATTTAAAGTTATTTCTTGATTATATGCTAAACAAAGGATGGATTATTCTTGTGTTTTCTTGAAAAGAGGCAGAGATTTCCTGGAACTGAGGATCCCTCCCCTTTTTATATAGAGTAGTTTTCAAATGTTGCCATGGCATTTGTAAACTGTCAAGGTGCCAGTGGGAGCGTCTTTTAGCATGCTAATGCATTATAAATTAGCGTATAATGAGCAGTGAGGACGACCAGAGGTCACTTTCGTTACCATCTTAGTTTTGGTGGGTTTTGGCCGGCTTCTTTACCACAATGTGTTTTATCAGCAGGGTCTTTGTGACCTGTGTCTTTTTTTTTTTTCTTTTCTTTTTTTTGAGATGGAGTTTCGTTCTGTTGCCCAGGCTGGAGAGCAATGGTGCAATCTCGGCTCACTGCAACCTCCACCTCCAGAGTTTAAGTGATTCTCCTGCCTCAGCCTCCCGAGTAGCTGGGATTACAGGTGTGTGCCACCACACCCGGCCAATTTTTGTATTTTTAGTAGAGACGGAGTTTCACCATGTTGGCCAGGCTGCTATCGAACTCCTGACCTCAAGTGATCTGCACCCCCCCTCAGCCTCCCAAAGTGCTGAGATTACAGGTGTGAGCCACAGCGTCCGGCCTGTGACTTGTATCTTGTGACCTCCTATCTCATCCTGTGACTAAGAATGCCTAACCTCCTGGGATTGCAGTCCAGCAGGTCTCAGCCTTATTTTACCCAGCCCCTATTCAAGATGGAGTCATTCTGGTTTAAATGCCTCTGACAATGGCTCTCCAGCCACAAAGGAGGAAGTGATTAAAGCATGGAGTCAGAGTTTTTCTGCACTGTTCCACACAGGAGGGCTCTCTTCAAACACAGTTTCCACGTTGAGCTGACTCACTGGCTTCCTCCTCCTACAGTGTCATAGTTACCTCTTTTCCAACTGCACTGCTGAGCAAGTGCAGAGATTGCTTGTTTCAAGGTAGATTGTTGAAAACTTCTTTCGTTTCTCATTTCTATTTCTAGGCATGTCACTGACTTGCTGAGTCATATTTGGCAAGCTCAGGATCTCTTTTTTCCTTGTTTTTCCATCTGGATAATATGATTTATAAAAAGCTCTAAGGCATTTTATTTGGAAAAAGGCATAAACATATAAAAATGATAGTGTTGTTTACCAAAAGACTTTTATCCATACATAGTTCAATTAAAACATCTGGCCAGGGATGGTGGCTCCCGCCTGTAATCCCAACACTGTGGGAGGCCAGGGCAGGAAGATTGCTTGAATCTAGGAGTTTGAGACCATCCTGGGCAAAATGGCAAACCCCTGTCTCCACAAAAAAATTACAAAATTAGCTGGGCATGGTGGTGCACAGCTATACTCTCAGCTACTCAGGAGGCTGAGGTGGGAGGCTCACCTGAGCTGGGGAGGTCAAGGCTGCAGTGAGTGTGATTGCACCACTGCACTCCAGCCTGGGCTACAGAACAAGACCTTGTCTGAAAAAAAAAAAATTGTCTCATCATAATAAAATATTTTTGTCTAATTTGTTCTTTACTGAGTGTGAAAGCTCCTGGAAAACAGGTAAAATTTGTTTCTCTATTTCTATTCCCAACACTCCGCATGGTATAATATAACGAAACTAGATATTCTCCAACTGGTCCTTGAGCCCAAGGGGAAATGCATGCGTGCTGGCAAACAGCTTAGAAATGTCATGAAGTTTTGTGGGTGCATTGGGGCATCTTTTGAGTTTCAAGTCTATATCTCTCCTCTGATTTCCCAAAGGTGTGATCCAAAAAAATTGTTAAAAACCATAAAAGAGGTCCTTAGTACATAAATTGTCAATTCCTGGCCATTCCTCGGAGGTACTGGCATTCTGGAGGCATCTACACAATTTCATAACAATTGTATTGTCCATGTAATACCAACTTCAAAGAGAAGAAATACAAAGAAAATGAAAAGCTGAACACTGTGATCATCTTGCTGACATTGAAGTAGGAGAGAGGCAAGAGATAAGAAAATTATCACTTAATATTAACATTATGCCCCTTAGCCAAATGGCAATATGGCTAGGTTATTTATTTTAATTTAATAACAATCAAGCTATTGTAAAACCCTCAATACACTATCTTGCAAAGAGAAGATACTGAATAAATATTTGATGGTAATACAAAGGAAGCAAGATGAAATAAAAATAAGATACTGTAAAGATGTTATCATAAAGACTTCACCAGAACTTTTTTCATAAATATTTTAAGAATATTTTTGGACTTAGGTTATAAATATGACTTCCAAATTGATAATCTTATAAATTTTTAAAATAAAATATATGGAACAGAGCAACAGAAAGTATATCAACTTTGCTACTTTTATGTAACTTTATTTGTAGCTTTTAAAATAATCCACTTCTTCCCATTAAACAAAAAGTGCCTTGAGATTGGATCCAAGTTTTGTTTTTTTCTTCTAACTTCCAACATTTCATATTGAGCACAGGACTTCAGGACTTCATTTTCATTGGTGCTTCAGAAACATCACTTACTGGTAAAGATAAATGAGAAGTATTCAGTTATGAATAAGTTGTCAGAGATGTCTCTCATGTGTGAGATGGTTCCATTTCCCAAGGATTTCTCTCATTTCTGTAGTAGCGTGTATGACAGCCCATATGGAGTCTACAACTAGAATCCAGACTGTGTATGCAATACGGAGATAGATGTCCCACACCTACTTCCTGGTTTTGGAACATGAGGAAATCACTCAATTGGACTGTAAAAATTTAAATCTGTATTTGTTTAATCATGCAGAATATTTATTTTTAATCTTATTATTTAAAAAATAAAACAGATACAAAAGGCCAGGCACGGTGGCTCATGCCTGTAATCCCAGCACTTTGGGAGGCTGAGGTGGGTGGATCACCTGAGGTCAGGAGTTCAAGACCAGCCTGGGCAACATGGTGAAACCCCGTCTCTACTAAAAATACAAAAATTAGCTGGGCGTGGTGGCGCGTGCCTGTAATCCCAGCTATTCAGGAGGCTGAGGCAGGAGAATTGCTTGAGCCCGGGAGGCGGAGGTTGCAGTGAGCTGAGATTGTACCATTGCACTTCAGGCTGGGTGACAGAGTGAGACTCCGTCTAAAACAAACAAACAGAAAAAACAGATACAAAAGACACATGAAACAAATGTATAGCCTAATGAATTATTACATGTCCAACTTTCTTATAACCAACACCAAAGTCAAGAAATAGAACTAGGACAGTTATCCCGGAAGCCCCTCCACATATCCTGTCTCAATTATAGTCCCTTCCCTCCATCCTTACCCTCCCATCCCAAGAAATCACTGTCCCGACTTTTATAGCAGTGGTTCTCAAAGTGTCTAGAATCTTGATAGAAAAGCAAATTATTGGGCCCCATCACAGACCTAAGAAATAAAAAACTCTTGGAGTGGAGCCCAGCAATCCATGTTTTAAATTTTTTTCCAGGTGATTCTCATGAAAACTTAAAGCTTGAGAACCACTGTTTTAGAGGAATCACTTCCTTCTGTTTCTTTGTCATTTTATTACTAAAGTATGCACTCTTAAACACTGTAGTTTATTCCTGCCCATTTAAAAAATTTCATTTAAGTCTCTTTCAATATAAAGTTTTCCCCTTCAGCCCCTTCTTTTCCTTACAATTTACCTGTTAAAGAATCCAGGCTGTTTGACCTGTATCATTTTCCACAGTTTGGCCTTTGCTGAGTGTATACTCATGGTGCAGTTCAACAGATGCTTCTCTCCTCTATTTCCTGCAAATTGGCAGCTGGATCCAGAGGTTAATTGGACTTCAGTTTGATCTCACTGGCAAGACTACAGGTGATGTTCTGTTTTTTCAATCAGGAGGCACATGTTTGTCTGTCTGTGATGTTAGAAACTGTTGATAATGCCTAAATCCATTAATTTATTGGGGGTTACAAAGTGGTGATGTTCTAATTCTATCATTTCTTTTTCATTTTTCATTATTAGCTAAAATCGTTTTTTGTTGGGTTTTTTTTTTTTTTTTTTTTTTTTTTTTTTGAGACAGAGTCTTGCTCTGTTGCCCAGGCTGGAGTGCAGCAGTGGCACAATCTTGGCTCACTGCAACCTTTGCCTCCTGGGTTCAAGCAATTCTCCTGCCTCAGCCTCCAGTAGCTGGGATTATAGGCACCTGCCACCATGCCCAGCTAATTTTTGTATTTTTAGCAGAGATGGGGTTTTACCATGTTGGCCAGGCTAGTCTTGAACTCCTGAGCTCAAGCGATCCACACGGCCTTGGCCTCCCAAAGTGCTGGCATTACAGGCATGAGCCACAGCGCCTGGCCTAAAATACTTTTATAAAGAGATGTTTCCCTCATCTACTAATCCAGTGGTACAATTTATATAGAAAATGCCAGTAAATGCTTGATTCCTATTTTTTTAACCAGTTTTCAAGATAATCAATTAGTTCCCCATCAACCTCCAAAGGTGACCAATTATTTTTAAATAGCATTTTGGACTCATGGATTTAAACATATTTGACAGGATTTCAATCCACTGCAGTTATTGTCATTATTGAAGTTCAAATCCTGCCATCTTGAACTAATAGATGCCACTTCAAGTTGGTTCCTGGGTCCTTTTGAGAGAACTATTTGGAATAATAATACATTCCAGGTTCATTTGGTACATTTCCTACCCTAAGTTACTTCTTTAAGAAGGCCTGGCTTCTTTCAGAGTGAATAGATATTTCAAGACTATTATCTAAACTCTAATGGAGCCCATTTTGACTGGGTAGGACATTGTTTTTAGGCCTTTTCAATTAACAAAGTTATAAGTGTGCGTGTTAGTTATTTAGTGCTGTGTAACAAATTACCTCAAAACATAGCTTCTTAAAACAACAATAAAATTTATTACCTCCAACAGTTTCTGTGGGTCAGGAATCCAAGAGTGGCTTACATGGACGGTTCTGAAGTCATCTGAAGGCTTGACTGGACTGGAAGATTCACTTCCAAGGTGGTACACTCCAAACCTGGACCGTTGGTGCTGGCTCTTGGCAAGGCCCTCAGTGGCTCACCATGTGGACCTCTCCTCAGGGCTGCTTGAATGCCCTAATGTCCCCAGAAGCAAGTGATCAAAAAGAACAACGCAGAAGCCACAATGTTTTTTACGATCTAGCACTGGAAGTAACACCCTGTCAATCCCATGATGTCCTATTGCTTACACAGGTTGGGGGAGGGGGAGGAAACTACATAAGGACATGAATGTGAAAAGGAGAGAAACATTAGGGACCATCCTGGAGGCTGGTTGATACTTAAAGATAAAATACCAGCAGAGTGTTGTGGCTCACGCCTGTAATCCCAACACTTCGGGAGGCCAAGGCAGGAAGGTCACTTGAGGCCAAGAGTTTGAGAACAGCCTGGGCAACATATCATATTACAAAAAATAAAAAATAAAAATAGCTGGGTGTGGTGGTACACGTGTAGTCCTAGCTACTTGGGAGGCTAAAGGCAGGAGGATCACTTGAGCCCAGGAGGTCGAGGCTGCAGTGAGCCATGACTGTGCCACTACACTCCAGCCTGGGCAACAGAGTAAGACCCTATCTCAAAAAACAAACAAACAAACAAACAAACAAACAACCTCATAAATTCATGCTGCTCCTTCCAAGTCACATTCAGGACTTACTTAACTTATTCCACATTATGTGTATAACTCTTTTCATACTGAGAATCCTAGCAATTAGAACATCTCATAATTGCCCATCTATTTTTATGTTGCTTTGGGCATTTGAAGAGGCAAACACCAAGATGGGATTAACCATGCAAGAGCTTTTGGTAGGGATATGTCTGGGAAGGGCAAAGGGAAGGAAACAAGAAGAGCAGAGATGCAATGCAAGTCTAACACTGAGAAAGGGACCAAAGAAGGGAAATAGATGGATAGGAAGAGCCCTAGACTGCAGCTCAGTTCTAAGAAACCTTTGGCCAGGCAGAGGGGAACTCCTGCAGCCACAGTCACCTGCTGCAGAAGTCCTGCCTCTGGTAGGAGCAGATCTGCACTAATGTACTGCTCTGCTCATTCAATGGCTGGGAGCAGCCCTGGGGGCATGGCCCCAGTGCCAACTAGGTAGGTGGAGGGGGTGGTTCCAGAGCATGGAAGCTGGGGCTATCACTCAACTATGCTCCCAAAGGCAGCATATCTGAGCTGTGCATTTCCCAGGGTGCTACTGCCTCATCCCACCTTATACACAACAGACTCAGTTTAACAATACCAATCCCACTGCCACCAAGATGATCCCTGAAAAGAGTTAAAATGCTCTTGTACATGCTCTCTCCATACCCCACTCCCCTGCCTTGTAAAAATATTTCCACATATTTAAGGTTGCAGAATATGGCCATCACATACATATTATTTTCCCTTTAACCCTCATTTTATGATGTCTGAATTTT
Organism: Homo sapiens; assembly: GCF_000001405.40. Taxonomy (NCBI): domain Eukaryota; kingdom Metazoa; phylum Chordata; class Mammalia; order Primates; family Hominidae; genus Homo; species Homo sapiens. The sequence continues at coordinate 71,296,792 of NC_000014.9, forward strand.
TTTATTATTTATTTATTTTTTTTTAAGACAGAGTCTTGCTCTGTTGCCCAGGTTTGAGTGCAGTGGTGCGGTCTTGGCTTACTGCAACTTCCGCCTCCCAGGTTCAAGCGATTCTCCTGCCTCAGCCTTCTGAGTAGCTGGGACTACAGGCGCCTGTCACCAGGCCCGACTAATTTTTGTATTTTTAGTAGAGGCGGGGTTTCACTATGTTGGCCAGACTGGTCTCGAACTCCTGACCTCAAATGACCCACACACCTCGGCCTCCCAAAGTGCTGGGATTACAGGCGCGAGCCACCACACCAGGCCCGACATCTGAATTTTTACAAATCCTTCTGTCAGGCTAAAGTTATACACATGCTCTCCCTCTACCCTTACCATAATCAGTAGAACTTACACTGATTTCAGTGTATCTGTTCATATTTGAGAAAGGATCTGTAGTTCATAATTCTGATGGTAACAGTCCGGTTACTTTTACTGCTGTAAGTAAATGTAATAGACCTATGACCCTGAGACATTTGGCCTCACATGTGACCTCAAAGCTAGGGTTAGATGATCCAGAGTTAATCTGACAGCTCAGATGGTGGAAGCTCAACCTCTGACCATCTTCCTGTGCTAGGGTAACTCACCCTCCAAGGCCCAAAGCAGGGGTGCAATATCTATGCGAATTTTTAAGCTAAAATAGAAGACTTGGAGGAGGATATGTCGCAGATTTCCTTCCATGACCCACAGACATCAGGAGAGTGGGAGGGCCAGGGGCAGAGTGTGGTTCAACCCTTCTGCTGCATTAGAGGCACCTCAATGGAAAAGTTTGAGAAGCATTGATCTATATATGGCTCAGGTATTAGACAGAGCTTTTCAGGTTTTTAAACATAAATTTAAACAACAATAAGTGAAGATTCATAAAGAAGCCAATGCCACAGAGCAATTATTCCAGGACCCCAGGCTTTAGTCTGGGATTGTCTTACTGCCCCTTCCCTATTCATGACCCTAGAGTTTTCACAACACAAAATGGCTCTGTGAATCAGTTAAGTACACAGAGACAAATCCAGGCAAACTCAAATGCGTGAGAAGAATCCCATTAAGATTCCCAAGATGAGAACCCTCTGTAAGAAAGTGACATTGAAGTTTTTGATAATTCCCCCTCAGATGAATACATGGAAAAATTACAAAGAATTTCTTTGGCTTCTGGTATGAGAATTTCTGATTACCCTTTTCCTCTCATTTCCTTGATCTTTACCAAAACATGAATGATGCTGGCCTTGCAGATGCTGTTGATTTGGTTCGGTGTGCCAAGCAGGCTGCGGTGGAAACCACTGTGGGGAGTCTTGGTGGGCAAGGTAACGCTCTTTTGGCATAGGAGTGACAACTACCCAGACAGAGAAATCCTCGGTCAGTGCAATCATGTCCACTCCTGGTCTAAGTCCCATCTTGCTCCTTAGATTGAAGAACAAGAAGGATAAGGATAAAATAGCAAATGGGCTTCTAGCTTTGGCTCTTAGTCTCTCCTCTGGGCAATACTCTTCCCACTCAAACCAGACACCTTCCACCTGCCAAGAAAAATCTGGTGCTAAAATATAATCAGACTTGTAAAAAACAGAACATGGGGTGATTATTTTAATTACAAAATCTTTCATTTTCCAAGAAGAACATTTGCCAGTAGATTCCTTTAAATGACCAAGTCCCTTGGCATATTTAAAAGGAGGTATGAGGCCAGGTGCGGTGGCTAACGCCTGTAATCCCAGCACTTTGGGAGGCCGAGGTGGGTGGATCACCTGAGGTCAGGAGTTTGAGACCAGCCTGGCCAACATGGTGAAACCCCGTCTCTACTAAAAATACAAAAATTAGCTGGGCATGGTGGCAGGTGTCTGTAATCCCAGCTACTCGGGCGGCTGAGGCAGAAGAATCGCTTGAACCTGTGAGGCGGAGGTTGCAGTGAGCTGAGATCGCGCCATTGCACTCCAGCCTGGGGGACAAGAGCGAGACTTCATCTCAAAAAAATAATAATAATAATAAAAGGAGATATGACTGACAATGCATGACATGTGTGGAGCTTTTTTGGAAGCAGATCCCATACAGGTCATTGGGGTGGCCTTGCCATGTAAGGACAACCCTGTTTCACCATGTTGGCCAGGCTGGTCTTGAACCCTAGGTGAACCAAGGTGGTATTAAAATAGCATTTCTAGAATCAAAGTGGAGAGAAATCATCTTTGAACATCCAATGTCTGATTCAAGTGTTATGAAAACAAGGCTCTGCTCTTTAACCAATGCTTGTTTAATTCAACGTGGCCTGCAGTTACAATCTTGTGCAGGGCCTAGGAGTTTAAGCCCTGGAGGTGGACTGCCTGGATTTAAGTCTCAGTTATGCCAGTTACAAGTTCTATGACCTTGAGGAAGTTATGTAACCTTTTTGAGCCTCTGTTTTCTTACCTGGAGAATGAATTGATATGAACATTAAATGTGGTGATATAGTAAATGTGATAACATATGTAAAACTCCATCTGCTTGTCATGCACTAAGTTATTAACTATGTTAATGCCTGTTAGATGAGCAGGATGCCATCCCAAAGGCCCAGCAAATAGGAGGACAGACGTCCTCTTGTATACTGATTACAGGATCCATGCACCAGGGGAGGGCTTGCAATGCAGCTTTTCTTGTTATCTAATTGGCACTGAGAGTGCTATTCTATATTAGTTAGACTAAACTCCAAATTGATGTTTTTAGCTAACATCTCCTTAAACTTCAAATGATCAATATCGAACAACTCATCTAGAACATCAATTTCTATAGGGCACTAACACTTCCAAGTGACTCCGTGGAGATGTTTGTTAATTAAAATCAGAAAATCCTCATGTGATATATCAAGGCTTTTCTATGACTAGAGCAATTGGAAACAATTGTTAAAAATTGTTTTTAAAATGTCCTGGTTAAAATGATTTCTGCTGTAACCTATAGCAGTGGTTCTCAAAATGCGGTTCCTAGAGCAGACTCACCTGGGAACCGGTTAGAAATGCAAATTCTTAGGTCCCACCCCAGACTTATTAAAATATGGCAATCTGTGGTTTCATAAGCTCTCAGAGGTGACACTGATCCATAGCACTGATGGCATATGGATCCATGCTTCCCACTGCACACCCTCGCTCCATTCCTGAGAGATCCCATTCATGAAGCAGAGCATCTTTCCCATTGAGTCTGGATGAAATCTCAGAACCCTTTTCAACACAGTGCCAAAAGTTCCTACAAATCAATCAAAGTTTGCATGTCTGGTCAGGCTGTGGTGCTCTGAGATCTCAATGAAGCATTCATTCAACTACTTGACTTTCTCCTAGAGAAAAATTATGGCCCTACCGAAATAGGTTAGGAGACCCCCTCAAGACAACAAGAAAGCAAGTTGGATTTCTGAACTTTTATAACCAAATAACACCCCTAACATATGCACACCCAGTCACTACAGCATATGAAAATTTCCTCAACTAGCAACATAGGCACAATGTCTATAGTGCAGGCTTTTTCCAGACAGCTCAATCTCGATGTAATTGCCGTCGTCAAACCTTGTTAAACATCCAATTGTGGAGTGTGAAAGACACATGCTAACTACCTATTTATCTGCTTCTAGTTATTCGAATATGCTACCTTTTATAAAAAACTAGATCACAAAAAATTGAACTTTGTCCCCCTTGGGCTGTTCCTCTCACCAAATAAAACTATCTTTTGAAAAAAAGACTTTGAGATGGCTTTCAGTAGTACATATATGCAATAAGCCAATTAAAGAAAAAAATAGAAAATCAAAAGTTGGCAGAATTACAGAGATACACGTATACCAGGACTCTCGGGGAATGTGGTTATTGTGGTTAAACATTCTTCTTAGCTCTAAGCTATAGAGATATATGATGGGTTAAATAAAATTATCAGGGTTATGAAATGTATTTACACTCCTCTGATGAGACTTTTTTTCTGAATATAGATACCAAGAGTCATACATGCTGTTGCCATATTTGCTTTCCTGGTATTCTATAAGCCTTATGAATTTCCCCTTCTACTTACTTTATCTGAAACCTCAGTCATCAATATTCAGTGTAAATGGGCCACAGAGCACGAGATCAACCCATATTTAGACTTGTCCTATTTTATCACTGTCTGTTTGTTGCGGTGGTTCATTATTTGATGTATGGAACTTTCAAAAGTTTCTTTTTAAAAAATGAAACTTCATTTATCTTTGACCATATTGCCTAATACATTGGAATTAGCTTGCTACAAATCTTCATTGAATGAGGTTACTTCCTTAATAGCATTTCTGACAGATGGCCATTGCTGTTAGTAACAGCAGTTGACATCCTGGGAATTTAAATATTCAAACCAATTCAATAAGAATTTATTTAGTAATCTATTATGTGTCATAAATGGTGTGGCTTGAGCTTCAAGGCATGCTGGGAGGTCCCAGTTGCAAAAATAACTTAAAAGAAAGCCAGCCAGGACCACAATCCCATCCAGGCCAAAGTCCAAAACCAAGAAGTCTGATCTGGTAGAATGGGACACGATGCAGGGCTTCTGAGGAACAAACAGCACTCGTTCTTAGGGGTCAAGTCTGAGTCCAAGAACAGAGATAACTATTCCGATTGCTGGAAATTATGATTGAGAAAAAGACTGGCAGAAACTAGGTGAATTCATGGCTTCTATTCATGGCTGGACTTCAGTTCTACTGGGAATCTGGAATGGATACCAGCTGGTTGAGGCTACGGAGGAAGGCTTTAATGGGATGTGTATGTTGCTGCCCAAAGACTAATTTCCTCCTCAAGCAAATTAGACATTGAGTATAACGGCTACAGATTACTTCCATGATCCACTGTGGCATACACCATTATCTACCCTCCAGCATCCAGGACTTCTTTACTTTTCCTTGCTCTGGGCAAAAGTGTGTCCTACCACAGGCAATGGGTTATGAAAGGACTAAACTATACTGATGGCAGTCCTGTTCCCTGACTTCTTAGCCTCCCTTGCAGCAGGCGGTGCCACATGACCCAGCTGTAACCAGGGAGACAGAGGGGAACTTGGCTGGAGATGCTTTGGGGAAAGCTTTTGTTTTTCTGTTAAAAGAAACAGGACTCGCACAGCCCTTCACCCTTTCTTTATGACTTTCCTACAAACTTGTAACCAGCAAGAAAAGGCCAAGTAAATCACAGAGATGCCTGCTCTACCATCAGTGAACCACTAAACTAATGTCAGCAGCCACGTATGTCCTGACTGCTGCTACATAAAAATTGTAAGCCCATTTGTTTAAGCCATCAATAGATAAACTGTTATTCACAATGGAAAGCATTCCTAATACCTCCACTTCCTATGAAGATGGAAATCCTGACCTCCATCACCTTCAGAGACCATGTGGCAGAAGATGGGAATGGACATGACACTCTGTGCTAGGGGCTGAAGGCATGGAAATGTGGGTGGCAGAGATCCTGGCCTAAGGACCTTGTAATTTCATTTGAGAGAGCAAACTTAGGGTAGGGTCTCATCACACTCCACACGAGTTGTTTGCTCTAGCTCAGAAGACCATATTTTAAGATAAATCTTATTTGAGATAAGCCTAGGACAGTTAAGATACTGGAAAACTGTTATGGAAGAAATGGTTGAAGTAAGAGAATTCTAGCAATGAGAATGTGGTATAGAGAAGGCATTCCTACATTAGGAATGCCTTCATTACATACTTTATCCTCACTATACTAAGTGGCAGTTCAGTGGGACAGAGTCGTAGCTGGTCCCAATCTGTGTTCTAGGTGTTCTAGCCCCTGTTAGCTATCTGATCTTGACAAACCCATTAAACCTCACTACCTCTCAATTTCTTCATTATCTTTTTTTTTTTTTTTTTTTTTTTTTGAGATGGAGTTTCACTCTGTCACCCAGGCTCGAGGGCAGTGGTGCGATCTCGACTCACTGCAACCTTTGCTTCCCAGGTTCAAGCGATTCTCCCACCTTAGCCTCCCAAGAAGCTGGGACTACAGGCATGTGCCACCACATCAAATGAATTTTTGTATTTTTAGTAGAGATGGGGTTTCACCATGTTGGCCAGGCTGGTCTCAAACTCCTGACCTCAAGTGATCCTCCCGCCTCAGCTTCCCAAAGTGGGATTACAGGAGTAAGCCACCATACCTGGCCAGTTTCTTTATTCTTAAAATGGGGACAATAATAGTATTTACCATATATATATATAAAATAAATGAAATAATCCATGTAATGCATTTAACTCAATGCCTGGAACACACTAAATAATCAATAAATAATAATCAATAAATGCTATTTATATTATTTTGAGAAGTAGCTAAGTACATGGACTCTGGGGTCTGAATACCTGGGTTTAAATCTTGCATTCACTACTTACTGCCTATATAATCTTGATTAAGTCTCAGTTTTCTCATCTGTAAAGTGGGAGTAATGATAGCACTGACAGGATAGTTGTGAGAATTAATTCAAATAGTGCATGTAAAGCACTTGGCATGGTTTAATACCCAGTAAATGTTGGCTATTATTAGCTATACTGTGAGTAATATAAAAGATGTATAGGACCTACTTCTTGTTTGCAAAATGCTTATTATGTTAGTTTCTAAGAAGTAATGAGAGGCAGGTTTCAGTGGCTCACACCTGTAATTCCAACACTTTGGGAGGCTGAGATGGGAGGATTGCTTGAGCCCAGGAGTTTGAGACCAGCCTGGACAACACTGTGAGATCCCATATCTAAAAAGAAAAAAATCATGGTGGCACATGCCTATAGTCCCAGCTACTCAGGAGGTTGAGGTGGGAGGGTCACTTGAGCCCAGGAGGTAAAGGTTGCAGTGAGCTGTGATTGTGCCACTGCACTCCAGCCTGAGCAACAAAGCAAGACCCTGTCTCAAAAAGAGTAATGATAATTAAATAATGATGTATAAGCATGAGGAAATCAGGGAGGGGAATAATCACTGAGGATGGAAAGGCTAGGAATAATACCATGCAGGAAGCTGGATTTAAGGTGGGCCTTATGTGACAGGTAGAGTGGAGATACTTGAAGAAATGGAGACAGGATATGGGATTATTATATTTTTCTTCAATTTTTAGGAGACTGCTTTACACATGTCATTTATTCTTCCTTCTAGCCTCATCTTCCTGGAGTAAAGTGAATATTTTAATAATGTGATTTAGGAAAACACAACATGTGAAATAGGGTAGCCCTAATTTCTTAATTGCTCATCCAAACAAATCTAATGATATTTTAAAGATCACTTGTACAATGTGCAGTTGAGACCATGTCTATAGCAAAAAAAAATAAATAAATAAAAATGAAAAGTAAAAGAGTACAGGGACTGGTATCAAGAACTACTAGGCATATGATCCTATATATAAATTATGTTTAGCAATGATGACAACAGAGACATATGTAGCATACAGGTACTGGGTTTTTTCTGTGAAATATGGATTCTGCTTTTGGAAGGAAATCTATCAAGAGTTCTCTGAAACAAGCTGGGTACAGTGGCTCATGCCTATAATCCCAGCACTTTGGGAGGCTGATGCAGGTGGATCACCTGAGGTCAGGAGTTCGAGAACAGCTTGGCCAACATGGTGAAACCCTGTCTCTACCAAAAATACAAAAATTAGCCAGGTTTGATGGTGTGTGCCTGTAGTCCCAGCTACTTGGGAGGCTGAAGTAGGAGAATTGCTTGAACCCAGGAAGCGGAGGTTGCAGTGAGCTGAGATCACGCCATTGCACTCCAGCCTACACAACAGAATGAGACTCCATCTTAAAAAAAACAAAACAAAAACAAAAACAAAAAAAAAAAAGGGAGTTCTCTGAAATAAACAGACATTTCTATTTCTAGAATGAGGAATACTGGCTTCAAAGACTTCGGTAGAGGACTCAAGACTTTTCCTAACTTACCCATCCCAATGTTGCTAACCGTATCTCCTAACATTCTTCAAACACCCACGGACTGTGGCACTAGGCCAGTCTCCTTGAGGTCTCCCGAATGCATCCCGCTCTCTTACCGGGCTTGTTACCAGCAAGTGCCTGCCATAGAGTAGGTGCTCCAGAACCACTGGCCAGAACCACATCCATTTCTTACATGTGCTGTTTTGCCAGCCTGGAATCCTCTTCTTTGACATCTCTGTTTAGCTAAAGCTTGTGCGTGCTACATGAGGCCTTTTCCTGCCATGTGAGTCCTCACTTATCTTTCCCTTCTCTAAACCACAGCAGTTGTCATTTGCATCACTGATGGGAAAAACTATGTGGCTTCCAACTACTGGGCTCCTGCAGCCATTTCTCTAGCCCCAACCATCTCTCAAGTTTTCCTTTCTCTTTTCCAGTATGATCTAGGTTTTCCAGGCAGAGAGAGCAACATGAGCAAAGCCCAGAGACCCAAGAGAACATGAAATTCAGGGAACAGTTTGTAGGTCCGTGATCTTGATGGCCATGCCCCTAAGAAAACATGCCTAAAAAGAACCGAAACCAGTTTCTCCATAGCCAAAATCTCTTTATGATATTTTTGCTTCAAGAACACAGTAGTCTATTACAGCATGACCATATTCTCTGGAACACTTGCTGAAAATCTGAAACCTTAAACAATTGTGACGTATCAGTCTATTAAGCTAAGTGGCTTTCTACCTAACACCTCTGCTTCAGGGCTAAGCAACATCCCAGCTAGAAGCCTGCTGAACTAGAAATATTAATTTTCCTTTTCTCCCAAGAAGATGATACGTGAATGCTGTGCTCTTCCTTCATGATCCTAACATTCTGCTACAAGGGTGAGCTTTCTCTGATTTGTGATTGACAAGTTTGCCAGGGGTGATAACTGGCCTAATCACTTGCCTTATAGATGAGAACTGAAGCCATTTGGAATTTATCCCTCTATCACTAAGCTCTGACTACAGTTTCTTCTTCGCATGCACAAGAGCTATTCCTCAAAGACGTTATCTTTGCCATTTATTTTGCCCTCTAACACTTCAAGCTTCAATGCGACGTCACAATTTATTTGCATGCCAGGTGTTGTTTAGATAAACAGACATTTGAATTACGAGCAACTGGAGACTATTAGACAGTGAATTTTCTTTTTCATTTAAATTCTCTCTTTCTAAAATTTATTCTAGGTTTTGCTGACATGTTGTGTTGGAGAACTACTGAAAGGTTGTGAATAGGAACTACACAACATACTGGCTTTGCCTCTACACTATAGGAGTGTGTTAAATTTCCTCTGTATTCCCAGCGTCTTACACTGAGCCTGGTCCTTACTACATCTTCTATTAAATGTTTAGTGAATAAACTCTGTGATGGATTAAAGATGGCTACATATTCTTTACTACATAAGCAGGTGATGTAATTGGATAAACAGAATATGGCAGAAGTGATGTTGTGGCAATTTCTGGGCACTGGAAGCTTCTACTTTCTGTCCTTCAGAACACTTTCTCTGGAAGCCCTGCCATGTAAGTCTGAATACCCTGAGACTGTTTTGCTGGAGAAGTCAGTTAACAGTCCCAAGTCCCAGAAGAGTTCAGCCTTCCATACATCTGTCAAGGTGCAGAGGGATGAGTGGAGCCTGCAGACTCTTAGCAGAATACCACTTGGAACAGAACAATCACCTGGCTGGGCCCTGCCAGAATTCCCTGACCCACAAAATCTGTGATATAATAAAATTATTGTTTTTTTAGCCACTTAAGTTTTAGATTACTTCGTTATATAACCATAAATAATCAAAACAAAATCCTGAGGGGGGCTCTATGTATACTATTCAGCACCCCAGAGATCAACTCGTGTATTCATAGCTACTGTTCACCTGACTAGAGCAGGGTGGTACACACTTGAGGACAGTTGGGCTGATTCACCACAACTAGTGGCGGCCAGTAAGCGCTGTTTCTCATTTTGTGAGTTCTTGGGCAGCATAGACCAGGGAACCTGACCAACCTCAGGACACAGATTTCAAATAGGATTCTATCTAGCACTTTAGACCCAGGAGGACTGAACCCTCATAATTCTTTCCGCTGATTATTGGAAGAGTTAATCACTCGATAGAACTAACATTTCTAATAGAATGAGATTAGATGGAAATTAGATACAAGACCAAAAGACTCTTCATGGTGATGAAGGAGTGAGAACCACTAGATTAAATGAACATAAAGACAGAGGGCAGATACATTTCCTTTCTCACCCAAATGGTAGGTCCTGAGAAATACTGTTGCAAAAAAACCCAGAAATACAGATGGGATGAAGAATAAGAGAAATCTGAGCACACAGGGGAGGAGGGTCAGTGAAAATTCATTCTGCGTGTACTTGAAATTTCTGATTCAAGGGACCAGAACACATGTTATTAGCATTTTCAATTTTTCTGAAAATTGAAGAGAACAAAAACTGAAGAGAATAACTCAGAAATAAAATGATGACAAGATAATTGTTTAATATGAAAATCCTTGGGTGGAGTACTAAGAGACTTCCATTTCAGTCTCAACACCTAGCAATTGATTGGACTTATTCTTAACTCAGTTTTCTTGTTGTAAAATGACACCACTCCGCTTTCTTCATGGAAATTATGTGGGTTGGATTGCAGGAGAGAAGATAAAAAGTGGCTTAGAAGGAAAAAGAAAGAATATGCAATTAGTAAATAGTACCAGTTCTTGAGAAGTTTGGAATAGAAACATTTTCCTCTTCAAACACATAACCTCTTTTTTTAGATTAAAGTAAACAAATCACTCTTTTACTATTACACAAATGCTGATTATTAAGTTTATATAAAAATTAACTATAATTAGATATGAAAGACAAGTAAATGAATCAGCAAGACATGAACAGCAACACTGTCTGAGAAGAATTCACCATCTAGACTGATTCTGTTGCATCTTGGGCTGGGTGTAATCCTGTAAAAACACACAGATGTGAGATGAAGGCCAAATCAGCTGGTAATCAAGTGGCACCTCTGGGGGCTGAGAGTACAAAGGAGTCCCTGGAAGAGGCACTGGCAAATTGGTGGCCTTGGTGGCAATGGCTGATGGCAGCTCTCTTGGGCCATCAGGGGGGACTTCATAGTCTGGTAGTTAGTTGTTTTACCCAGCAAACACATACCCCAAAAGAGAAGCCATTTCTTTTGTCTAATTAACAGGTAGTGCCAATGGAGATACCAGTGTTTCTCAAGCTGTACTCTGCAGACCCCCTGCCCCTAGAGGGCTTATTAAGGTTCAATCCTTGGACCCACCCCAGATCAACGAAATCAGAACCTCTGCACCAGGGGTGAGGAATCTATATTTTAATAGGTACCCCGGGTGCTTTCATTGAAAATCTCATAGTTTAAGGACTGCTGCACTCTCTTGCACAATGTGACTGTCCACAAATACGCCATGTTCACCCCATTTTCAGTTCCTTTGCTTTTTCTCCCTCCAGGAACACTCCTCCCTTCTCTACTTTCTTCACCCCATGGGCTAAGATCCACTGGCTTCCTGGGGCTGTCCCCAACTTCTTGATCTCTTTTTCATGAACAGTAATTATGCTCCTTAATCCTGTCTTATCCTACTTTGTAACCTCTTTCAGGGGTATAGTAAATCCCCCTTCATTCCATTAATTTCATTAATTCCTGCCCAGGGCAGAAAGATCCTGCTTTAAATGGTTTCCTTCTCTGAGAAGACCTGTCTTCTAGCCACTTTTTTATTTCTAAATAAATGCTTTTGCTTCCTGTATTTCAATACAATAGAAGGAGTGGGTCTTAGAGCTCCATAAGAGCAGAAAGTCCTGAGGAGCAGATGTCTTCCAGAGAAAATGGGAAAAGTTCTCACTCCACCCCCACCACTGCACTGTTGAGCTTCACTGATTGGATCTCAAGAGATACAAGATTTTTTTCTATCACTATTGATTGTTTTGGTTTTTCCCTACATTAACCCCCTCAGCATCAAAATAAATTTAAACTGAAGACAATGTTTGTGCCTTTTCCCCAACTATATTATAATCTTAAGGGCTGAAACCTAGTCTTAATGCTTCTTATATAATTCCTCCACCCTAGACATTTATTATTGTCTGCCCGCCCTCTTCCCTGGGAACTGCCACCCCCTCAGTCTTGTCATGATTCCTCCATGACATTTTATGCAATGTGCCTCCAGGCTCCTGGTCACAGCTGATTGGTCTAGAGGTGGGCACCTGATTTAAAGCTGTGTCAGTCAGTTCCTTTTCTCCCCAGGTATTTTGAAAACTGGGGAGATGTTTGAATTCAGATTGAGCCCAGGAGATATTTTCCCTATGTGGACCAGAAAAATGGAGGAAACTATTCTTTAGAAAGAGAGAAGAATGCTGTACGTAGAGGCAGATGCAGAGAGAGGAGCACATGAGTGATGGAGGGGGTTTAGATGGGACGTATTTCTACCACTGGGTATCTTTTGGAACTCACAGTTTTCAGAATAAAGCCCCCATTTTATGTTAAGCTAGTTCTGGAGACTTCAGGGAAGACTCAAAGGGCAAGGGAAAAGGGAGTTGTGGATAGCCTCTAGATAGCCAGTCCACAGGATCTAAGGAAACACGTATGATCTCACGTAATCCTCAAAATAATCATGTGTTTTTACGAAGCAATCATTATTATTCCCACTTGAAAAATAAGAAACGAAGGCTTAGAGGAGTTAAGTAACTTTTCCTAAAACCACTCTGTTACTAAGCTGGAGGTGGGCGTGGGACTTGAGGCCAGCTCCATCTGACTGCACCATGCTGAACTGTCCTCAAGTGAAGGCCAATGGGTGTGATGCTGAGGGCTCTATTCATTCTTATTTTATATATATTTTGAGACAGAATCTCACTCTGTCACCCAGGCTGGAGTGCAGTGGAACAATCTTGGTCATTGCAACCTCCAACCCCTGTGTTCAAACAATTCTCTTGTCTCAGTGTCCTGAGTTGCTGGGATTACAGGTGTGTGCCACCACCCTTGGCTAATTTTTGTATTTTTAGTGGAGACGGGGTTTCACCATGTTACCTAGGCTGGTCTCGAACTCCTGGCCTCAAGATACCCACCTGCCTCAGCCTCCCGAAGTGCTGGGATTACAGGTGTGAGCCACCATGCCTAGCCTATTCATTCTTGCTCCTATACTCTCATGCCAAGCTAGGGTAATTTGAAAAAATTCTACAAGCCAATCCTGAGTCCTGGTATTGATCCCAACTCCATGTGCTTGGCAGAGACTGTGATTTGTGCTGCCCTCTATAGGAAGTATGGAATGAGTAAAAGAACTGCCCAGAAGCTCAGAGACCTAGAAGCTGGCTGTTCTAAGAGGTTCTAAGAGGAAGCAGCTAGGAGCAGCAGTCCTGAAAATTCCACTGCCAACAAGAACAGCAGGTATGGGCTGGCCATGCCAGAAGCAATGATCAAGATCCACTCTAGCAGCGCCAGTCACAGCCAGTACCAGATAACAGGAGGTGTCTGTGAAAATTGCTCAGAAGTCTTTATCCCTCTCCATCCTACGAGTGAGTTATGGTCACCCTTGATATTTCAGATGGGGTTGTAGAACGGGGTGTGTTAGGGACAGAAGAGGGGAGAAGAAGGTAGAGATCATCCTAAGAAGAGTAAAACAAACGGGAAGGGAGAGAGGTTCAGCAACTCTGAGCAAAAGTCTAGACCTCAGATTCTTGACCAAGAGCAAACAGACCCCTCAAAGATTCCTGACCAGAAGCAAAATGACTCTTGAAAGAGGATAACACATCAACACACAAACTTTTAGTCTGGAGGGATGGCCTCTTAGCCTTCTCCTTTTGTATTTAAAGAAAGAGAAGTCCAATTAGCCAGGTGGGTGGTGCGCACCTGTAATCCCAGCTACTTGTGAAGTTGAGGCTGGAGAATTCACTTGAAACCGGGAGGCGGAGGCTGAAGTAAGCTGAGATCGCGCCACTGCACTCCAGCCTGGGCAACAGAGTGAGACTAGTCTAAAAAAAAAAGAAAGAAAGAGAAGTGAGAAGTCTAGAAAATTAAATAATTTATATGACTCAGCTAAGTAAAGATAGAGTCTGAATTAGAGCACAGAATTGAATTCAAGCCGGGCTTGAAGTCTAGTAGATTTTCCTCTACAACACTTGGTGCTATTTTCTTTGTGTAGCTATAGGATAAGTAAAAAATTACATGGAGTGGCCTTGGCCATTTCTCATACTTGCATAGATATACTCATCACTTTTCCCCACGTGAAAAGAACAAATAAAATTCCTTTAAAAGGCTTTTAAAAACTTCATCTCTGGAAAGGTATTTGTATAAATCTAGGATGAGTGCTGAGCTGCTGAAGGTCCTAAATATCTCTGAACTATCAGCATATTCATGCTTGTCCTCTTCTCCCTTAAATAAAGGCTGTGATGACTTTAATATTCCAGTCGTTCTCCTTGGCATGCCCGCAAACAAAAACCCTCATTACACATGTTTCTTGTACTCAAGAACATGCAAAGCGTGATTTCTCCTGCGGAATCTCACTGCGCACTCCTTGGATGCCACAAGGCAGCTGTAGCTCACGCGCCCCTGCAGCTCCTGGGTTCGTGTGAATGTCGCCTCCACTCTGGCTGGCAATGGAACAAGCCAGATGGTCTTGGGAGGCCTCAGCCCACCGCTTCCAAGTCATGAGCAAGCCTCTTTTCATTTCTAGGGATTTTAAAAAGACAAGAGAGTAGAGAGAGGACTTTTAAAATTCACCTTCCTTCCTTGACACCTTCTCTACTGTGAAATCTGATGAAAGGAATAAAGGGGAAAGGGCTGTTTGGAAGGGAACTTCCGGCTCCTAAGAGAATATTGAAGTTATTTTAAATGGTTCAAAGGGCTCCCTAAAAGGAAATATTAATAGTAGGATGAATAAAAAATCTTGAAATGGTTCAGATACAATTAAAAAATATATATATATATGTAACTGAGGTGGTTGCAGTGGCTCATGCCTGTAATCCCAGCACTTTGGGAGGCCGAGGTGAGTGGATCACCTGAGGTCAGGAGTTCGAGACCAGCCTGGCAAACATGGTGAGACCTGTCTCTATTAAAAATACAAAAATTAGCCAGGCATGGTGGTATGCACCTGTAATCCCAGTTACTTGGGAGGCTGAGGAAGGAGAATTGCTTGAACCCGGGAGCTGAGATTGAGCCACTGCACTCCAGCCTGGGTGATAGAGCAAACTCTGTCTCAAAAAAAAAAAAAAATATATATATATATATAAATATTATAACTGTAATAGCTTGTGTTGATGTCTATAGTATAGAGGAAAAGGTCAAAAGTATTGGTGGGCCAGAACTTTTCATCCTTTTTGGGATTTTTATTTCATTTTATTTTATCCATGTTTATAAGAAAATTGCCTGAAAACCCAGGAAAGGCATGAGTAGCTCAATGGAAAATGTTTCAGAAGAAAATGCCTATGACAAGGAAAGAAAGTTTGTGAGGGTGCATTTTAATTAAAATGTTATCTAGGCAGGCGCGGTGGCTCACGCCTGTAATCCTAGCACTTTGGGAGGCTGAGGCGGGCAGATCACTTGAGGTCAGGAGTTCGAGACCAGCCTGACCAACATGGAGAAACCCCATCTCTACTAAAAATGCAAAAACAAACAAACAAACAAACAAACAAAAAAATTAGCCAGGCATGGTGACAGGCGTCTGTAATCCAAGCTACTTTGGAGGCTGACGCAGAAGAATCACTTGAATCCAGGAGGCGGAGGTTGCAGTGAGCTGAGTTTGTACTACTGCAATCCAGCCTGGGCAACAAGAGTGAAACTCCTTCTCAAAAAAAAAAAAAAAATTATCTAAATGCATCACATTAGCAATTATAAGCTACTGCTTGCCAAATTTATGTTTGCAGTTCTAATCTCTTCTCCAACCCATGGATTTCTAAATCTCATGCTTCTAATATTCTGTGCATCATAAACGCAAATTTGAATGTTTCCACCCTTGCTGAAAATCCTTCAATGGCTCCCTATTGCCTACAGAATAAAGCCCAAGTCCTGAATATATCACACAAGGCCCTTGTGACTTGTCCTCATTCTCTCTAGCTGACATTGGTGCATAAGACCTGGATTGCCTCTACCCTATACCCCTATAACTTCACGGCTCAGAAGGCTCACAAAGGCTTCCTAATATCAAGGTGCTTTCTGAGCCAGAAAGCCAGGTAAGGGATTTTCCACTCCATCAGAATGGGAGCCCTGATTCTGCTTTGCTGTTAAACTTCATTCTTTCATTGCACATTTATGGAGTGCCTATTTTTGTCAGGAACTGTATTAAATTATAGGGATTTAAGAGCAAACAAGACACACATTATGACTACAAAGAGCTTACATACCTGATTAAACACTATTAGTCTCCTATTACTGCTATAACAAATTATCATGAAATTTGTAGCTTAAAACACCACCATTTTATTACCTTACATTTCTGGAGGTCAGAAGTCTGAAATGAGTTTCACTTGGATAAAATCAACATAGTGGCAGGGCTGCATTCCTTATGAAATCTATAGGGGATTTCATAATCTGTTTCTCTTGCCTTTCCAGCTTCTAGAGGTTGTCTACATGCCTTGGCTTATGGTCTCTTCCTCCACTGTCAAAGCCAGTAATGTAGCATCTTCAGATCTCTCTCTGACTCTGTTTCTGTGGTCACATCTCCATGTCTAACTCTGACCCTCCTACTTCCCTCTTATGAAAACCTTGTGGTTACATTGAGTCCACTTAGATAATCCAGGATAATCTCCCTATCTCAAGATCCTTAACTTAATCATATCTTTATAAAATCTCTTTTGCCACATAAGGTAACATATTCACAGGTTTTGGTGATTAGGATGTGGACATCTTGGAGGGTAAGGGTGTTCTCTTTACCACACTCTGCTAGCAGTTTTATTTTGTCTGAATGAGCACTATTGGCTTATATGAAAAACATGTGTTGAGTGCCTACTATGTGCCAGGCACTGTTCTAGGTGCTAGGAACACAGCAGTGAATAAAGCAGACATAGAGTTCCTGCCCTCAGGGATCTTACCTTCTAGATGAAAGACAGACAATAAACCAACAAACAATTAGATAATATGTCAGGGAGTGATAGACTTCAGAGAGCAATAGAACTGTGTGGGGAGTATGAGATTGGGGTGATTGCTATTTTGTAAGGGGTGACTGTAGCAATCAAGGTGTAGTTAGGAGAATGGAAGCTGTTCTTGATCATTCAAAAAGAGGGAATTTTTATTTTTATTTTTTTTTTGCGACAGGGTCTCTGTCACCCAGGCTGGAATGCAGTGGTGCAGTCTTGGCTCACTGCAGCCTCCACCTCCTGGGCGCAAACGATCCTCCCACCTCAGCCTCCAGCTAATGTTTTTGTATTTTTAGTAGAGACGGAGTTTGGCCACGTTGCCCAGGCTGGTCTCAAACTCCTGGCTTCAAGTGATCCGCCCTCCTCAGCCTCCTGAAGTGCTGGAATTACTGGCATGAGCCATCGTGCCTGGCCAAAATGAGAGAATTTTTATACAGGGGAACTACATGGTGGATGGAAGAACTGATAAATTAACCAGGGTGATGAGGGAACCCAGAGTTTTCTTTTTTTTGTTTTTTTTTTTTGAGATTTATTCTTGTTGCCCAGGCTGGAGGGCAATGGCTCAATCTCAGCTCATCGCAACCTCTGCCTCCTGGGTTCAAGCGATTCTCCTGCCTTAGCCTCCCCAGTAGCTGGGATCACAGGCATGCACCACCACGCCTGGCTAATTTTGTATTTTTAGTAGAGATTGGGTTTCTCCACGTTGGTCTAGCTGGTGTCCGACTCCCGACCTTAGGTGATCTGCTCGCCTCGGCCTCCCAAAGTGCTGGGATTACAGGCGTGGGCCACCGTGTCCAGCTGGAAACCCACAGATTCTTAACACTAGGAAGCTACTATCACCCTCCAGCTGAAATTATATCAGAGCCTGGGGATGGTTCTCACCCAGTGGAACCTGGGGCCATGCAGGAGATGCACTTGCTACTAAAACTCTGCCTGAAGCGGACAGAGAGAGGAGCGGAATGGCTTTCACTTGTCTATTCCATCTGTCCAAATTCCTGTTATGCATCCTGATGGCTGAACCCAGCTGGAAGCCCCTGACAAGGCATCCTTGAAAACATGGCCCATGGGGTTCAGCCCTACTGCAAGGTAGAGCAGGACAAGAGAGGGCACCCAAGAGCAAGCAGGCAGATTACCAACAGTTACCTCTGTACAGACATCTAAACAGACCCAGAAAGTGCATCATGCAGATATTTGGGGAAAAAGCTCTCCAGGCAGAGGAAAGAGCAAATGCAAGGCCTGGAGGCAGTAGAGCACCAAGTATAGTCAATGAATAGCAGGAATGCCAGTGTGGCTGGGGTAGAAAGAGGGAGGGGAGAGAGGGAGGGATTGGGAGTCAAAGAATATACAGTTCCTGGGCCAGAATATGAACTGGGGCTTTTTCTCCGAGTGAGGTGAGAGGTCCTGGAAACTTTGTTAGCAGAGAAGTGACAAGATTAGACTTACTCATGCTCCACACTTTGGATCCTGTGTGTAGAACAAATTATTGGAGGGGAAATGCAGGAGTAGGGAAACCAACTAGGAGACCAGTAGAGAGACAATTGTGATAATCCAGGTGAGAAATGGCTTGAATCAGAGAGGTGGAGCTGCAGTGGGTGGAAGTGGTTGGATTCTACACATATTTTGAAGAAAGGACCATCAGAATTTGTTGATGGTTTGGATGAGAGAGAAATAGAGGAGTCAAGGATGATTCCAAGACTTTGGCTCTGAACAAAACCTCTGAACCTCTGGGAAGATATCCTTAACAGAGTTGGGGAAGACTGCTGGAGGGAAGTGTTTGTTTTTTTTTTTTTTGACAGAGTCTTGCTGTGTCGCCAGGCTGGAGTGCAGTGGCGTGATCTCGGCTCACTGCAACCTCTGTCTCCCAGGTTCAAGTGATTTTCCTGCCTCAGCCTTCTGAGTAGCTGCGACTACAGGCACGCGCCACCATGCCTAGCTAATTTTTGTATTTTTAGTAAAGATGGGGTTTCACCATGTTGGCCAGGATGGACTCGATCTCTTGACCTCATGATCCACCTACCTCAGCCTCCCAGAGGGAACCGGTTTTGAGAGGGATATCTGGAGTTCAGGAGGGCACTGGTTTTTGGGGGAATATTTGGAGCTCATCAGTTTTAAACATGTGAAATTTGAAATACCTAGTACATAATCAATTGCAGATGTTGAGTAGCAGATGGATGTACAAATCTGGAGATGGGGGAGATGACTAGCCTGGAGGTGTAAGTTTGGGAGTATTTAATGTATAGATGGTATTTAAAACTATCAGACTGGTGAGCTCACCACAGAGTGAAAAGAGACCATAAAGAGATGTCCAAAGTCTGAGTCCTGGAGCCTCCTATGTTGAGAGGTTCAAGACTAAAAAGACCAGAAAGGTAGGATAAGAACTAGGATAGACTCTTGGCTCAGAAGCCAAGGGAAGAAAACATTTCAAGAACCAGCATGGTTGACCTCTTCCCTGCTGCTGAGGGCTCCAGCCAGGTGAGCTTGGAAGTTGAGCACCAGATTTAGCAATAAGGCAGTCACTGATGCCCCTGAGAAGACCTGTTGCTGTGGAGTAGTGGGGGTGAAAGGCTGCTCAGAGTGGATTCATGGGAAGGGAAGGATAGGAATTGAAGACACCAAGCATGGAAGAGCCTTTTGAAGATTCCAGTTATAAAGTGAAGCAGGGGGAGACATAAAATTTAGGAAGCATTTTAGTTTTTACCACGGCAGATATTCCAGTATGCTTGTAAGCCCTTAGAAGTGAAGCAGTAGAGAAGGAAAATTTGCTGATTCAAGAGAGAGTGGGGACAGTTGCTGAATCAATGTCCCTGAGTTAGAGGTGATGGCACTAATGCACAGACCGAGGCTAATCTTGGCTAAGAGCACCAAGAGTTCATAAATGACAGGAAGGACAGAGGAGTATATGCAGACAGATGCAGGCAGGTTGGTAGACAAGAGTGATAGAGAGGGTATGTGTGTTCAGTTCTCTTCTGATTATTTCTATTTTACCAACAAAAGAGGGAGCAAGGCCATTAGCTAGAAGTACTAGGCAGAGGTTTGATTAAGGAGGAGAAGATGTGAAACAGTCCTTTAAAGAGGAGGGAAGAGCACAGGGAAGTATAGTAGTTTTGCTGTTAATTGATTAACAGAACGTTATAATTATTTATAACAACGTTATAAAGTAGTTGGTGTTTTAAACTTGTAATGAATACTACTATGTAAATGAGAGAAGGGGCATTTGCTAAGGAATCCAGTATTCATGTAAACAGAGTTACATCAATAAGGCTAAAATAATAACACCCTAAAATTAAAACAACATGGGATATCATTTAATCCTGAATAATTTTGAGGGCACTTTGGACCTTTGTAATGATTTAGAGTAATCTTTCTAAATATCACTTAGAATAATGCCCTGCAGATGTACAGCTACTGGAGTTCTGAATAGGCCAGTTAAATCAGATTTTAAATGTAAAACATGCAAATGTGAGTCAGTGTTTATAATATTAAAAAATACATAAAATTTGTATGGTAGGCCTCTGTGTCAAAATTCATTCTATATTTGGTATACACTATACATTAGGGTGTTTTGTTGAGTAGAGGTAAATAACCAGAGGGAAATGAATTCACCTGGGTTTTAACGAAATAAGAAGCAAATAGGGAGGGAACAACATAGCAAATGACTAGATGTTCTTATCACTAGAAAGGTTACATATCCTTTGTGTTGGAGGGCAAAGGCAAGGGGTTGAGCAGAGATGGGTAGAGGAGCCAAGACAGTGGACAGGAAGTGGACTGAGATCTAGTCTGTGCTCTTGGCAAACTCTCCATTCCGCATTTCCCTCTTCTGCTGCCTGACATCTGCTATTTTGAAACCTAGGAAGGTCAGGAAGATACAGCAGGAGTGACTGACCTAGAGAATGTGCAGTTGGAAACTAGGCTTTGGTAGCTTTCACTTTTTATCTCCTTTAGAAACACGGATGAAAGTTCTGCCATCAGTGAGGGATAAATAGTAGCCCAGGGCCTTGAAAAAGCAGTTTTAGATCCCTGGGACAATTTCTACTATTTTACTATGTCTGAAGATTAGGGAGGTTATTTTTGTAATTTGAGGCCAACACCCATCTCTTGAGCCTTATATGAAGCACTGAAGAATGTTAATAGATTTGGCTAGCATTTGGGTCAATTATTTCAAATGGCTATCTGGGAGTCATAAAACAGATGGTCCTGAAATTGTACTGCGTTGGTGGATGTAGATTGGCAGCCATCTTTTAAGGGCAAAATTATGTTAAAAGCTAAGCCAGAACAAATGAGCAACAACTGATTTATAATATTTTGCAATGTTATGAAAAATGGTTCCTTAAAACAGATTCACAGGACTGATGGTGATGTTCCATTGTGTTTCTTTGTGAAAATGTGATATTAAACACACCAGTAAATGAATCTGAGGCCCTCCGTCCTTCCCCTCCTCCCTCCCTCCCTTCCTTCCTTCCACAGATCTAGTCTTCGCTCCTTCCTTCCTTCCTTCCTTCCTTCCTTCCTTCCTTCCTTCCTTCCTTTCCTTCCTCCCTCCCTCCCTCTTTCCTTATAGTTATTTTGGGAGTATGGATGTATTTAGTTTGGGTCTTTGGTTTTAATTAGAGTATTTATTAAATAACAAGGAATCTGCTTTGAGTTAGTGTAAAAGCAAATCATGAACTATAGATTACCTTTGAAATTACTGTAACATGGTCAATATTTTTGTTGTTTTTGTAGTTGGGACAAGATAAATTTTAAAATAAAATTGTCAACATTTAAAGAAAATTGTCAACATATAGCTACTCTTTGTGAAACTGACCTACTATAAGATGAAACTTTTTTTATCATTTGCTGTAAAAGGAAGATTTGTTATTTATTGGAAAATTTTATAGGTCTAAGAGCTCTTATATTAAATTATATATATATATATATATATATATATACTCACACATACATATGTGTATATATATTTAGATGCAGGATCTCACTGTGTTGCTCAGGCTGGAGTGCAGTGGTGTGATCAGAGGTCACTGCAGCCTTTAACTCCTGGGCTCAAGTGATTCTCAAGCCTCGGCCTCCTGAATAGCTGGGACTACAGGTGCATGTCAGTATACCTAGCTAATATTTTTTATTTTTGTAGATACAGGGTCTCTCTATGTTGCCCAGGATAGTCTCAAACTCCTGGCTTCAAGCAGTCTTCCCACCTGGGCCTCCCAAAGTGCTGGGATTATGCATGTGAGCCACCATGCCGGCCAGCTATAGAATTTTAAAGCTGTAATAACCTAACATGTGGGGTACCCCCCACAGATGAAGAATCAGAGAGATTAAATAACTTCTCAAGGAGACTCAATTATTAGTGGCACAGAAAAACGTAAACCCTAGTTTGCTGACTTTGTCTAGTATCACTTAGGTTTCTAATACACAAACTTTCATTGACAGGATTTAAACTTGCAAGTGACTTACAAGTTTTGACTGCCTAGTCCTCATATGCTTAGGTTATGCTTTAGGTTTCTAGTTCTGTGGGACTGAGTTAAATAATGGTTTCCCCATGTTCATGGATAGGAATTTTAAAAATTGAGATATAATCCACATACAATGGTATCTATTTTTACTCATTCATTTTGAAATCTAAAGTTTAACTTCTATTCATAATATCCATTTTACTTAGGCAGTGAGTATATAATAACCCTCACCTCAGAAAAGTTTCTACAGTTAAAAGACACGGGCTGAGGAGAGTTCATCTTCATCCTTACTAGCATTTTGGAGTACGTATAAAGGCGTCTGCGGATGCCTAATGATTAAAAAAAAAGTTCCCCTCACCATGGTGAATAGGGTTTTTACGAGAAAAATATGGAGAAAGCAGAGATTATTACCATTGAAAAAGACAAGGTGTTAACAGAAATGGGAGGGTAGCTTGATAGAGTCCAAACTTGACTGAACTCTCTAGGTTAGGGCCAAAGGCAAGTACTGAGGACAGGCATGGACTGTTGCGTTCAACTTGTCAAAAAAGTGGCCAATATGTAGTATGGACCAAGCCTATAGAGGCGCTGAGAATACAGAGATGAATGAGCCAGTTCCTGAAGGAGCCCAGTCTGCGTGTGTTTGCGAGTTGAGAAGAGGAGGAGGGAGGCAGCATGGGGAGTGTGGGGATGGAGGAATTAGATTGAAAGAGAAGGCCGAAAAACTGAATATATAGTAGAAATTTGGGGTGCAGATATGTGCTGCCTAGAAAGGCAGAAACCTGTCCCAGAACCTCTTAATACATTAGTCTCATTTGCCAAATTTGGCCAGATATCATGACTGTGGTCCTCTCGAGATGCCCTCTTGAATCGGCTTAAAAATTATCCTTCCGCAACCACCCCTAGCTTTCCCCACCGCCAGTGCGCCGGGCAGGTTGAAAACTGCACCCACGTTTGCAGCCTCTGCTCTCCGCAGGAGACAGGAATCCAGGGCTTTGCCGTCGTCATAGCAACCAGAAGTTCCGCGGTCCCCTACCCTCCCGCGACTTTTTCCACTTCCTCCGCCTGCAGGGCCCAGCCGCCGCTTCTCTCGCGAGACTTGTGCGCCGCGCTAAGCCGCTCCGTGGTGATCTCACCCGAGACTTGGGGGAGAGGGAGGAGTGAAGGAGGGGAAGGAATGGGGCGGGAGGCGGGGCGGGGAGGGGAAGGGCGAGTGAGGCGCCGCCACTGCCGGCAACTTTGTGAGCGAGTTCAGTGCGTGCGTGAGCGAGTGAGCGAAAAGTCAGTGCAGCGCCGAGTCCCCGGCTGGAGGGTCCCCGGGGAGGGCCAGGTCTGGGCCCCAGAGGCCGCCCCCGCAGCCACTCCATTCCCTCCCGCCTCTGTGGCTCCCTCCCCATTTCCTCCCCCACCGGTCGTTGGGGCCTTCCCGCCCCCGTCCGCACTTACCTGTCCCCTCCCCCATGCGGTACGCACCTCCTCATCCCCCCCCCGGCAACCTCGCGCCCACCTTGGACCTTCGGAGCCCGGACCCCCGCACTTGCTTCCCGTACTGGCCGCCCCCTCAGTTCTTTCTGCTGGCGGGCGGGATGGGGGCGCTGAGCCTCGGGGACGGCGCGAGCGGGGGCCCGGGCGCCTAGACAATAGTTGATGCCCAAGGACGGGGCCACCTCCGCCTTCCCCTCCTCCGGGAGCTCGGCCCCCGCCGGCCCCCCGCCAGCCTGTATTCCGGGTCCCCCTCGGAGCCAGCCTCGGGAATTGGGCTGATTCCACCCCCGCCTCCCTCGGGCCCCCCTCCGCTCCGCGCTCGGCGCCCGCCTCGGGCCGGCCTCGCCGCTCTCCGCAGAGGAGGCGGCGAGTGAGCGCGCGCCGGCCGTCTACACGGTTTCTCTTTCTCCCCAGGGAGAGCGCGCGGCGGACGCGCCCGGGACGCGCGGCGGCACCGGGAGGCCGGGCCGAGCGGTAAGTGGTCCCCGCGCCCGGGTCCTGGGGGGAGCGGGGGTGCAGGACGGCTGACAGCCCCCTGCCCTGTTTCTGGCCGGGGTTGGGGTCCAGGGCCCGGAGCAGGACCCCAGGAGGCCGGTTAAAGTTTGATTTTCGATTTGGTGGCTTGCTGGTAGCTTAGCCCGGCGGGGGCGAGTCCGGCTTCACCGCGCCCGGCGCGCGCGCACGCACCCCAGAACCCGAATCTGCACAACTACTGGGCAGGCGTCTCTGCGGGAGGCCAGGAGACCCGCGTCCCGGTCCGGGCGGTTGCGTCCACCCCGCTGAGCTGGTCGCCACCTGGCGACCCTTCCCCTCCAGTCACCTGGGTGAGCGCTTTGCAGCCTGAGCTGGAGTAGGCAGGCCGAGTTGGTTGAGTTGTGGGAAATGGAGACGAACAGCTCGGTGCCCGAGGGTGGTTAATTTCCCCTTTGGGGGTCTTGGGGACATGAAATTTTGGGATGCTCTAACCTGCTTTCCGGGGAGCGAGTAAACCGCGAAAGGGCTGGGAAGGCGTGAGGGTGCCGCAAAAAGAACTTTTCCTCCTTCGCCCCATCTGTTACCAGCTTCTCTCCTGACCTTAAAGGAAATTTCCGAGGCTCTTAAATCGCTCCACGGCATTTCTAGGTGGACCAGTAATCGTGTTGGGCAGGTTGAAATTTCATCGCGGTTTGGAGAACAGAGAGACATGGGAAATGGCTCACTTCCAAGGAAGATGTTTAGCTAAATTGTTGGCATTCGTTTTCTAAGAGAAGCATTTGGGGATTGATGGCTCCTAGACTACGATTACCTTATAGATTTTATTTTTCCTGACGGGTAGTTTAGAGGCAGCATTCGCTGAAATGCATACTACCTGTGAAACGATCATGTTTCTAAACTGGAGCCAGCGATGTGATGCAAATTTCAGAATAAAGGTGTCGACTTTCATCAGGTTCCAGGTCTATCTGGATGGACTGGGATTGGCGTTTCCTCTATAAAGCAAACCTTTCATGTTGAAACTCTGAGTCAGACTCTTAAAGCCATTGTCTTTATGCTGGTACTCTGTGGGAGTTAAGTGTCAACTTTCTCCTGTTTTCTCCTATGGAGTATCCGTCCAAGGCAAAGATTCTCTGACTGAATCTTTTGGAAACGTGCAAGGTTAGATCATACTGAATTCTGCAGCCAGTTTAGTAATAATATTAGTTTTCTATATAATCCTGATTTAACGACTGTCATTTTTCTCTTCGTTTTTTGAAAGCTGCAATTAAGCTACCTTTACCAGGATTTAAAAAAGAGGATAATATGGAACAGTGGTAATAACAGTAGGTCTCAGCTAATTTATTATGGCCACCGATGTGTCCAACTATTAGATGACATCCCAGTTATTAACTACAATATTAATATTAAAACATTTTTCCCATGGAATCAATTATGCTAAAGCATTAACAATTAACAGTGCATTTAAAATGATGAGTGATTGTTTCCACATAAATGGTTAGAGGCAAAATAAGAGATTTGGGGGATGAATGGCTTTATGTCTCTGACAACTAATTTTCTTATTAATGCTTAAGTAAAGGACTCTTGAAGTTGACTGTCATTTGATTTTTCTAGTTGACTGAGTGAACAAGTTTGGTGAGTGGCTTGAGACAGTCAGTAGGTGTTGCTGTTGTTAGCTTCTCTGCAGTTCCTGCTTCTGCTCCTCGAGTTTGAAATTGCAATTCTGGTACAGTGAACTTTTAAAATCTGAAGTATCAGTCAGTGATAGTTGTGATTTCATTGGAGGAGTCTATGGCAAGGTTGACTTCAACTCCAGGTAATAATTGCAAAGCACCTCTCTGATACTTTGTACTGAGATTCATTTAACTCTTCTTTTGTCTCTGTCCTTACACTAGTATTTTCAGGCTTCTGCATTTGCTTTGCTTTTGCTTTGAAGTATGTGTGTAATTTTGGTATAGTGCCCCCATCTTCATTGTTTAGGAACTTTTAAAAAACACTTTCTAGTGAGTTTATTGAAGTCATAGATTGAAGATTGCTTGAGATTAGCAGTTTTGTAGACTTCGGGGGGATCTTGGTTGAGTTGTGATGTATATATGTTCTATCTTAAGTTGCAATCTGAATTTTTAGATAAATGACTGTTTTTCTTTTTTTAAAAATCTGTTTGAGCTGTGAAATGGGAGCATGAGGAGAGCTGAAATGGTATGAGAGTGGAATTTGATGGAAAGTTTGTCATGATTAATAATGTGACTATGTGCCTCTTATCAGTCCTTACCGTTGTATTATCATTGTTATTGGTCCGTATCAGTGCACAAATGAAGTATGAATATCCTGAAGATTTTTTGTTGACATCTCAGATTTGAGCCTTTTGGTTCACTGACCATATTAGATTTTCTCTATGGAAGACAAATAGACTCATTCCCATAATAAAGAACTAGAGCGCTGATAGAGCACACTTTTTTTTTTCCCCTTTGGATCAAATCATGGAAGTTCAAATCTGAAAATAAATTCAGAAATTTCTTTTTTTCCCCATAGCATCCCTATATTCCTAACCTTTTGAGTGGTGAGTCAAGCAATATTTATTGAATGCTGCTATCTGGCAGGTGCACTTTTGGTTTCTGTGATTACAGTGATGAGCAAGAGTGTACCTGGCCACATGGAACTTGTAGTCCAGTGGGACCATTTGTAGTAATATTTTCTGGCATGGAGTTATGGTACCCTGATGCCCTCGTAAAGGTTATACATAATAGGCAATTATTTTTGAATTTTAATATATTTTAACATTTTGAAATAATGTAACCTAGAATTTGTCCTCAGAAGGTCTGGGTTTCAAATACCTGCCCTGCCATTTTCGTTGTGAGATATTGAAAAATAATTGAACTTCTTTCTGAACTTTACTGTTGTTTCCTGCGGAGATGGGCTCAAGACTTGCTTCACAGATGAGCTACAAAAATTGATGAGAATACATGTATGAAAGTACTTTGTAAACTATAAAGTCTTATTTGTAATAGGGTTTTCTTACTTTTTGTTGGACAGATTCATGGATTGTTGGAACTAGGAGGGATTTTGACTCATTTGGCTCATGTTTCCCATTTTACGTATGAGGAAACTGAAGCCCAGAAAGTTGAAGTGATTTGTTGAAGGTTATAGAACTGGTTAATGACTAGGCAGTGATTGGAAGACAGGTGTCCATATTTAATTGCACTCGTTTCTTTTCTTTTTTTCCTACCTTAGAGCCTGTTATGTTAAAATTTTACTACTTTCTCCCCCCACTTAAGAGTTCAGTATTTATTAAATATCCAAAATGAGGAGATGCAAAACTTAAGGAAACGAACGATCTGTGGTGAGGTTGTAAAGCTATGAAAACAACATTGGTAACCGAGCTTCATAATTAAATGACAAAGTTACAGAAAAAGAAAATATGAGTTAAAGTTTCTACATAGTAGAGCCTGTAGGCTTTTTTGTTTTGTTTCATTTTTAAAGAAATCTTTATTTGCACAGAGCATAATGTACTCTTTAGCTCTTTAGAAAAGCTAAACTCAGTTTATTTTGGTTCATCTTTTTCTTCTCTTTTTAAACTCATTTCCATTTGCGGAAGAAATTAGGTGTACCATCCTTGTTTCTGGACCATGGCCAACTAAATTTTAGACCTTTTTTCTCAGCGACATGTAAGGGTAACCAGAGATTGGGGCTGGGGGTGTTAGGTGGAGAGATAAAACAGGACATAAAACAGGAACGTGTAGGAGCTTCCTGTTGAAAATGGGACTGATTTATGTTGCGCCACCCTACCTTCCAGTGGAGTAATCTGAGCCAGCAGAGAAGAAACTTCCCTGCTGGTTGGGTGAATGCCCTTGAGGTGAGGGGGTTTCCTTCTTCCGGGAGAGATAAGCATTGTGGTATTCTGCCATTGCTCACACAGAAGTTTGGGTCTTATTCTACAGACAGACGCAGTAAAATAAGGGTGTTCCACTATCCCTTGAGACTGACAATCTGACCTTCTATCTGCTGCACTTCTACTTTTTTGGTATGGGAAATCAATTGGCCTCATTGAATTTTTGCTTTTAGTTTTTTTCTATGCCTAGCTAATCAAA
Source organism: Homo sapiens (assembly GCF_000001405.40). NCBI lineage: Eukaryota > Metazoa > Chordata > Mammalia > Primates > Hominidae > Homo > Homo sapiens. Next base: position 71,325,267 of record NC_000014.9, read on the forward strand.
AACAAAAACAAAACCCACATGCTTTGATGACACCTTGCTTTCAAAGGTTATATTTAAGTTAATTATTCTTAAATGATAGCTCATTTATTTTTATTCAGTGGACTGTTGATGAGCTCTGGAGTGAGTCTTAGAAGCATGGGAAAGATTTGTGGCTTCTGGGTCTTTTAAACATGGATGATTTGCATAAGGGACAGAGCAACACAGTGATTTGGTTTGTGATCATGAGGGTACAAAAAACCATCAGGGCAGATCTTTTAATGGTAGGTAATGTTCACCAGTCAACAACCATTTTCTCCTTTTATTCTGGCCTGGAGAGAGTAAGATAACCCCATTTGCAAATAGAACAGAGTGTTTTCTTAAAGGCATAGAGAGATGACACCAAAATGACATGGAGGGATGTCAGGAGCTGCTTTAGCTGGCCCGTAGTAAGTAGTAGTGCATTGGTGGGTGTGCCACAAAGTCAGGCGAAGCCATTTCTCTTTGCCTCTGGAGTCTGGGATGAGAAATTTCAACCTGTAGATTTCCAATTTGTTGCTTGTCATGTTGCACTAAGTTCTCCCTCTAATTAGGATTTAGTATGCCTAAGTTGAAATTGCGGGAAGCAGGCAATTACATAATGTTAGATTTCCCTTTTTCCAATTCAGGAAAGGCAGGAGAATGTGTGCTTGTTATGAATGCCAGCTTGGGGAGGGAGAATTGCTGGTTCACACAAACTCGGGGGTCACTCAAAGGCAACTTGAGCAGAACTGACAGCCAGTGCTGCTGCCATTGGATTCCTTTTTTCCTCTTTCCTCCCACAGAGCAGGTCTAGGTTAAATGAATTTCACAGATATGAAAGTTAATTGTGGTTATTTCTTTTCTCTTTCTACTTTTTCCACAAAGCCTTTTACCAAAGCTATGAACAGGTATAGTCATTGATGGTTTTGTGGTTCAGCGACTTGCTTCTTTTTTTTTTTTTTTGAGATGGAGTCTCGCTGTGTCACCCAGGCTGGAGTGCAGTGGCATGACCTCGGCTCACTACAACCTCTGCCTCCTGGGTTCAAGCGATTCTCCTGCCTCAGCCTCCCGAGTAGCTGGGATTACAGGCACACGCCGCCACACCTGGCTGATTTTTATATTTTTAGTAGAGGCAGGGTTTCGCCATGTTGGCCAGGCTGGTCTCAAACTCCTGACCTTAGGTGATCCGCCTGCCTCAGCCTCCCAAACTGCTGGGATTACAGGCAGGAGCCACCACACCTGGCCGACTTGCTTCTTTTTATAATGAGTTCTGAACTGCTCAGAAAGAAGCTATTGAGAAAGAAAAGCAAAGGGCTGTGTGCCAAACGATCGTGTTCCTATAATCAAGACTTGACTATGGTCAGTGTCTTTTACTCTGGCTCCATGTTATCTTTCTGTAATTCATTTTCTTCATATTGTAAATTATTTATCTAGATAGGAAATGTAATTTGCTTTTTTTTTTTTTTTTTTTTGAGATGGAGTCTGTTACCCAGGCTGGTGTGCAGTGACACCATCTCTGCTCACTGCAACCTCTGCCTCCTGGGTTCAAGCGATTCTCCTGCCTCAGCCTCCCAAGTAGCTGGGATTACAGGCGTGTGCCACCACACCCAGCTAATTTTTGTTTTTTTAGTAAAGACAGGGTTTCGCCATGTTGGCCAGGCTGGTCTAGGACTCCTGACTTCCAGCGATCCTCCCGCCTTGGCCTCCCAAAGTGCTGGTATTACAGATGTGAGCCATTGCGCCCGGCCTAATTTGGTATTTTTTGGGCTCATTGCCTTTCCTTTAATAGTCTCTAGCTCCCAGAATTGATTGAAATCTTTTTTTTTTTTTTTTTTGAGACGGAGTTTTTGCTCTTGTCATGCAGGCTGGAGTGCAGTGATGTGATCTCGGCTCACTGCAACCTCTGCCTCCCGGGTTCAAGCGATTCTCCTGCAACAGCCTCCTGAGTAGCTGGAACTACAGGCGTGTGCCACCATGCCCAGCTAATTTTTTGTATTTTTAGTAGAGATGGGGTTTCACCATATTGGCCAGGCTGGTCTTGAACTCCTGACTTCAGGTGATCCGCCCGCCTCGGCCTCCCAGTGTGCTGGGATTACAGGCATGAGCACCCGGCCTGAACCTCTATTTTTACATTTCTTTTCTATTTTACGTTTCTTTTCAGTTCTTGATGCTTATCATCAGTTCTTGATGCTCTTAGCTGCTAACTGGACTGTGGTATCCCATGTCTTCAGGAAGAGAGAGTCTGCTTATTAGGAGATGCTTATAAGATATAGAAATATAAATTAATAGGATGTCCTAAAATTTTCACCAAATTTGACTTTTATTGCTTGCTTCACCTGTATATACCTAGGAATAAAAATGGAGTCAGTTTTTTTCCATATTCTTGCAAGAATCATGGGGCTGTGGCTCTGAACCATACTGCTTGACTTTTAAAGACTTTTCAGAAACACATGTTCTTGAAATGTGGGTTAAATGTGTAGTTGATTTAACTCCTCCCTTTTCCCTAACCATACTTGTAGCTGCTCCACTGAAGACCTCAGAAGCTTCTGCCAGTATGCTTTCCCAGAGCCTAACTTCTTAGTAGCTGGTATTTGACATACGAAGAGAGTGCTCTGTGTGCATATGTGTGCATGCTTGTGTGTTTGTTTGTGTAGTGGGGGGCAGATTTGACTCCTAGCTCAGAATGTGCTCTTGTGAAACATGTTAGGAAGCCTGAATATGGTTCCTAAACTGTGTCTCTTTTCCAGTTTGAGAAATGCCTGTGATTCTTCAAAGAGTCTCAGTATTGTTTTATTTTTTAAATTAGGATCTTAATGATGAGTCTCAGTATTGTTTTATTTTTTAAATTAGGATCTTAATGATGATCCTTTGTAACAGGAAGCAAGGTATAGTAAATTGCATAACAAAATAATGTTTCAGTAGATAAATGGTAGGTTACAGAGAGCTGTAGGATTCACAGAAAAGGCTTATTAAAAGTTCAGGAACCTCAGCCTAATCTGGGTGAGATTGTTCTGAAGGCCATTTTCAAGGTGGTGGTTAAAAGTGCTGATTTTCTGTGGTTTGGGTGGGATGTGTGTTTGGGGAAGCAGTGAGTGCTTGAGTAGAGAATCACATGAACCTTGAGGCTTTTCTCCTGGGGGAGAATGCTAGATATTGAGGTTGATGGGTGATTTGAAGAAGCTCAGTAGGTGATTCTGTTATGCTTCTCCCCCACCCAGTTGAAAACACAGTGGCTTTTATATAATTTTTAGATCTATGCTTGACAATAAGGTAAATAAGTAGTGGACTTAAACCAGAATGCAGCCAACTGAGGATTGTAGAAACTTCATTTTGGATGGGTAAAAAGGAGAGCCTCTGGATCTTTTGTAGAGGCCCATTGATTCAAAAAGATAACTTGGAATAACTCCTCAAATGACTGCCAACAGTTTAAAGGGTCAGACTGCTTAGACTCCTGCAGTGGAGATGGGACATGTACATGCAATTTGATAATTGTATGTTGGCACTTCTTTTAAAAAAATTGTGGTAAAAACAGAAAAAGTTGACCATTTCAACCATTTTTAAGTATATAGTTCAGTAGTGTTAAGTATATTCACCTTGTCATGAAACAGATTTCCAGGACTTTTTCATCTTGCGAATCTGAAACTCTGTAAGCATTAAACATTGGCCCCCATTTCCACCTCCCACAGACTCTGGCAACCATCATTCTTTCTGTTTCTATGAATCTGGCTACTTTAGGTAACCTCATATAAGTGGAATCATGTAGTATTTGTCTGTGTCTGAATTATTTGACTTAGCATAAAATCCTCAAGGTTCATCAATGTTTGTAGCATGTGACAGGATTTCTATCTTTTTAAAGGTTTAATAGTATTCCGTCGTATGGGTATACCACATTTTGTTTATCCATTTATCTGTGGATAGATATTTGGCAGTTGTGATTGTTGCTATGAACGTGGGTGTGCAGATATCTCTTCAAGATCCTGCTTTTAATTATTTTGTGTATATACCCAGAAGCGGGATTGCTGGATCATATGATAGTTTTATTTTTAATTTTTTGAGGAACCTCCATACTGTTTTTCGTAGTTGTACCATTTTACAATCTCATCAACAGTTCATAAGGGTTCTAACTTCTCCACATCCTTACCAATACTTATTTTCTGTTTTTTTTTTTTTCAAATTAATTAATAAAAAATTTTTCGAGACAGGGTCTCCCTCTGCCACTCAGGTTGGGGTGCAGTGGTGCCATCTCAGCTCACTGCAACGTCCACCTCCCGGGCTCAAGCAATCCTCCTGCCTCAGCCTCCCGAGTAGCTGGGACTAATGGTGTACACCACCACACCCAGAGCTAATTAAAAAAACAATTTAAATAGGAACCATCTTAATGGATGCAAGGTAGTATCTCATTATGATTTTGATATATGTTTCTCTGATGATTGATGAAGTTGATTGTATTTTCATATTCTCGTTGGCCATTTGTATATTATCTCTGCATATATGTCTGTTCAAGCCTTCTGCCCATTTTTAAATTGGGTTATTTGATTTTTGTTGTTGAGTTGTAGGAGTTCTTTATATATTCTGGGTATATATTTTTTTCCTTCAGCATTGTGTTTTACTTTTTTGGGGAGAGGCTAGGAGGAGGAAGGGGTGAAAACAGGTTCTCATTGGAGTCTCCAAAGTGTATGCAACCTCTGGCAATACAAGGATGGGATGAGATGGCCAGGCCAGTCAGATAGAAAATCCCCAAGATTCTTTTGGCGACTGATTTCTATAATTAAAATATGACAGGTGGAAAGGACTAGTACATGGAATTCAATAAATGTCAGTTGTCTTTCCTAACTAGGTTCCTCATGGGCTAGGTTATGCCTAGATATCATCATCCTTCTCCAAATGAAGCTCGCCTAGAAAACTAGGGAACTAAAAGTGCAATACAGTTTGGGTAATGAAGTTGGTTAGCTGTCTCCCCATCCTCCCAACTCCACTATTCCAGGGAGGGGCTGAAAGTAGAAGTGGCTCCCCTGAAGTCTAGTTAGCATGTTGTGGGAGAGTCCACATGAAGGGCTGTGGGCTGTAACTCTCTAGTGCACAGTCCTCTCTTTTTGGCGATGAAAATTGTAGGGAAAGAAGCGGACATGCATGCTGATTTCACGAGCTGTCTTCAGGATCTCAGCAGCCTTGCTGTGCTCAATATCTTGGAAATCCACATCATTCACAGCTAGAACTTGGTCCCCTTCCTGAAGTCCTGCTCTATGTGCATCAGAGTCAGGAATCACCTTGGAGATGAAGATGCCTAGCTGGGAGGCCTTTCCTCCTCAGATGTTAAATCCCAACTGAGCTTCAGGAGGCTTCTTCAGTGTGATGGTTTGGGGCGGAAACTGGGTCAACTCATTGTTGTAGTCTGGGTGGGGTACCCTCTCATGAGGAGGAATCCATCCTGGAGGATTCTCATAGGCAGGCAGGAAAACCACCGGGTAGTCATCATAAGGAATCTGGCTGTCTATCTCGGGCAAGGCCCAGTGGGCTGTCCCTGACGACCTCAGGCTTCACTCCATATTCTAGATATTAACACCTTATGAGATAGATTATTTGCAAATATTTTTTCCACTCCAGGTTGCTTTTTTGCTCTGCTGATTGTATCCTTTGATGCACAAAAATTTTTTAGTTTGATGCAGTCCCACTTGGCTAATTTTGCTTTTGGCCGTATCTAAGAAGTAACTGCCAAGTCCAAAGTAATGAAGCTTTTTCTTTATATTTTCTTCTGGAAGTTTTATAATTTAGGTCTTACATTTAGGTCTTTAGTCCATTTTGGGTTCATTTTTATGTATAGTATAAGGGTCCAACTTTTATTCATTTGCATGTGGGTATCTTATTTTTTCCAACACCATTTGTTGAGAAGACTGTCCTTTCCTTATTGAGTGGTCTTGGCACCCTTGCCAGAAATCATTTGACTATATATGTGGGTTTATTTCTGGGCTGTCTATTCTATTCTATTGGTCTCTTTGTCTGTTTTTATGCCATTATCACACTGTTTTGATTGGTAATATGTTCTGAAATCGGGAAGTATAAATGGCACTTTTAAGTTATGCTGTTCTAGATATTGAATAATAAAGAAGTGACATTAAACAATTCAAAGAATTTTTCCTGTTTTTGAAGGATCGAGACACACTTAGAGAATGAGGTAAGATGATTTTAATGGCAGAACGTATGAGGCTACCAATTGGCAAGGAGCATAGTAAAAGCTGTGTGTCTAGCACTTCCGGTTTGCAAAGTACTTTCACACATACAGAGTCCAGTGGCTTGGGAAAGCTTCAAAAAGGCAATGAATCTTGAATTATCACAACAGTCAGATGTGTACCTTAGTGGGTATTCATACCCAACACTCTGTGTCAGTTGCATCACAGTGATTTAGAGAAATTATTATAAGAACTGTCACTTGTGGTAATTTTTTCCTTGATGCTGTGTTGTCTTTCCTTTTCCAAGCCAGTAGTTTCAGATTTCCTGTATCTGCTTGTTGAATAGCAGTGGGCCCCATATGAAGGTAGAATACTTAACCACAGCACTGTTTTATATTTTGGATGTGTTAAAAAATGAAAACAAAAACAAAAACAAAAAAACAGAAAACTGATCTGGCTGGGTTGTACAGGATGAATTGAAGGCAAAAGATTGAAGCCAGAACAGCAAATTTAGTGGCTGCTATAGGAACAAATTTCGGCTACTTAAGAAATATTTTCTCATCATCTTAATACAATGATGGGGATAATTTTGGTTGAGTATATTATTTGAAGGGACATTTGGTAGAATTTCCATGGAGGAATAATGTAGTATGCTTGTATGTAGTAGGCCTACCATAAAGATTTGTTTATTAGTGACCAAATGAATTTGTATCTGCAAGGTATTTGAATGGTGACCATATGAATTTTTGTTTGCATAGGTGGGTCTCTAAGGAGTAATTTATTCACTTTTCCTGTAAGTGTTTATTGAATCCCATTATATGCCAGGGACTGGTGGCTGCTGCTGGTAAACAGGATACATGGTTCCTGTCCTTGTATAGCTGATACTCTTCTAGTGACTTATGTGGCCCTTGTCAATGTTCTGTTCCTCTCCTCTAGTTGGATTTTTCTTTTAGTCAAAGGCCACCTGTTTTGGTGCAAAAACAATTGCAGTTGTTTATGGTCCTATATTAAATATTATTTATATATATAGAGAGAAATAAACAGTCAACTGCATTTTGGTTTCCAAGGAGATATATCTTGGCAAAATTTATTTTATCAAGTGCTTTTCTAAGAAAGAGTACCAAAGGAAACTGGCTGTAATGCCTTTTGGTTAAGATTTTCCTGAGGACCCAGATAGGGTTTTTAAATCTTGGTTTCTTCTACTCCCACACCCACCCCAAAAGAATCTGGAAAGCTAGTTATGACTAGTCCTGGGTTTGATATTGATTGCTGGAGCTTTGAAGAGTCATATAACCCTTCTGCATCTTCATTCATTCATTCATTTCTTCATTCACTTAATAAGTCTTCATTGTTTACCTGTTATGTATCAAATAATCCTTGTAAAAGGGAGAAAATTGAGGGTTGAATTCAGTTTTCTTTAAGACCTACTGTAAAAATTCTATAAATTTATTACTATGATTTAGTAAGATTTAGGCCTTTTTATAGATAGTAGAAATATTTTTGAAAGAACTGAAGAAAGAAATTTAGAGTATTTGTTTTTAACTCTAAAATATTTTAGTGAGAAAATTCTATAATGGTGGATAATTTTAGTGTTAGTTCATTCTGAGCTGAAACCAATCAACATTTAAACTCAGCTCAGAGTTTTTCTTTTTAATTTTGGTAGTAGACAGTTCTGAATCTAACCTTTCTGTTGTTACAGGTAGCACCCTGGAAACTTAATGCCTGTTTCAGATGATTGGTATAATGTGTGTGTAGGAGATTTGGAAATGCTTGTTACCTCTTCTAGGTGCTTGGTTCTGAATCTTTTAGACTATGGTCATCTTTTATGTGTAGTCGTCTTGGGATAATGGTAACATCATGTCACTGAATGCAGAACAGTCACACTGAAGATCTGAGTGCCATTACTGTGATAATTAAGCAGGTATTTGCTCATGCTGCCAAAAAAGTAATATTCAGAGTTCCTAGTGTGAGATTTCATGGCTTTATAAAGTGATATTTTCATTTTAACTTGTTGGAAATTCAACATAGTATTGACTATACATGAAAAGATTCAGTTATGCAAAGTAAAATGTAAGAATTTCCTCCCATGTCGATTGTTGCTTTTCGTAAATCTGGTTTCAGTGTTACCAAAGAACAGTGGAAGATTTGTTCTAGTCCTGGCTTTACTACATACTAGTTGTGTGACTTTGGCTGTCTTTCATTTACTAATCAGCAGTATCATTATGCATTTTGTAGGTGGCAGATACGTTCTCATCCTAGGGATACATCAATAAACAACTCTGAGTGAGATGGGAAGCCACTGGAGGGTTTTGTACAAAGGGTTTTGGTCTGACATCTTTAAAGAGTGACACTCTGTTGTGTAGGGGAATAGAATGGGGAGGAGTGCAAAGGTGGAAATAGGGGGATGTTAGAGGTTTCTAGCAATGCTCTATAGGTGAGATATGATAGCAGCTGTGGAGGTGATGAGAAGTGAGTGGTTTCTGGATATATCTCAAATGGGGCTAAAATGATTCACTGGTGGGTGAGATGATGTGGAGTGTGACAAAGAGTATACTCAAGGATGACACCGAGGTGTTTAGCCTGAGCAGCTGGAATAATGGGGATGCCATTTATTGAAATGGAGATGCCTAGAGGAGCAAGTTTGGGTGTGGTATTAAGAGTTGATCTGTGCATGTTGGGTATGAGATGCAAGTTGACTTGCCAAGTGGAGCAGTCAGGTAGGCAGCTGGGCAGGTCTGTCAGTCTTCATGAGCTTTAGTTTTCTCATCTGTGAAATGGGGAGAGTGTCTGCCCTTCTCAGAATTCTTGAGATCAAATGAGAAAAAAAAAGTTAAAACTTGTAAAGCTGTGTCTTACATTATTTCTGGAAAGTAGACTGGCTACCATCTTGTGTCCTTTGTGGTCTCCTTTGCACTATTTAACTCATAGGCCACATTGTATTGTGGAAAGTTAGCATATGCCCTCCAAAGCCTGGTTTCTTTCCCAGTAGATGTGAAAGCTTTCTCTTTGATCCCTCCTGCAATTCCTGGGCAGCTTCTGGGAGAACTTGGTATGTATGTATTTCAGTTATCTCCAGGGTGTCAGAGGGCTTCATTTTGTGTAGAACCATACTTGAGAGTGTGGTACCAGACTTGCCTCTTAATAAACATAGCTTTGGGCCAAAGTAATTTATTTAGGTGGGAGGGTATTGTAGTAGAAAAATGGCTCTTATCTTTCTCAAATTCTTTATTTTAGGCTTTTTCCATAACTTGAATCCATTAACAGATAGGGTCTAATAGGTCAGATGATTTTGGGAGACCGCTCTTCATGTTTCTTGATTCAGAAAACTTATATATTCTAGTTTTTTTGACTGCTTTACTTTTTTTCAGGCAGGTGAAATACATTAAGTATGTATTTGAATCTATTGAATTAAAATTTGCTTAGGATCCACCATGTTGAAAGCATCAGTCTTGTATTTTTATCAGTGTCATTTTGAATTTATTAAATGTCTGTCATTAGAGGTAGTAGTAAATAGTTATATATTTGAAATGTAGTACTTTTATAATCTATACTTTCCTACCAGTTGATTGTTCCTTTAAGAATGTCTTGGCTGGGCGTGGTGGCTCACGCCTGTAATCCCAAGCGCTTTGGGAGGCTGAGGCGGGCGGATCACGAGCTCAGGAGATCAAGACCATCCTGGCTAGCACGGAGAAACCCCGTCTCTACCAAAAATACAAAAAATTAGCCGGGCGTGGTAGTGGGCGCCTGTAGTTCCAGCTACTTGGCAGGCTGAGGTAGGAGAATGGAGTGTGAACCCAGGAGGCGGAGCTTGCAGTGAGCCAAGATCGTGCCACTGCACTCTACCCTGGGCGACAGAGTGAGACTGTGTCTCAAAAGAAAAAAAAATGTCTTTAGCCAACAGATGTGGTGGTTTTGGGTTCTTCTAATCCACAAGCAGTTTTGAACAGAAACACTATCACTCTTCACTGCTGTCCTCGTTTGATTATCAGTCAGCAAGGTTCCACTGGGCATCAGCAGTGTGCGCCCATTGCAGGTCCTCTGATTTAGAAAGGTCCTGACACATGCAGTGAATATAACTTGATGACTGCCATCTAAGTAAGTATGGTAACCGTTGGAATACCATCTAAGTAAGCATTCTAAGTGTTCAGTGGAAAGAGAATGGTAATCGCTTTAATAATGAAGGCCTCAGGGAGGTAGGAACCATGTTTTTCAGGAGATATCATGGGGGCAGAAGTTATTTTGGATAGTTTTCTTATATGTTTTGAGCAAAAGGACCTCTCTCTACATGAGGGTTTTTGTTAGGTCTTCAGATTTATAAAATAGGTTTACCCATCCGCTTAATAATTGTTAAGTTACATAGTCTTTTGCTTTTCATTGAATTGGCTTACTGTACATTATTTTGTTTCAGCCTCTAAGAAACTGAACCATAGGTACCCAGTATATTACTTGACATAATTGTTCATAATTGTTGAAGAGAAACCTCAAACCTTGTCTTTCCTTTTTAAGTACATATTAGAAAATTTTGGTCAATTGTAACAACTAATTTAAAGGGGATCTATATGTTTAAATCTGTATCTTTTTCATGCTTAATTTTTCCCCCTAGAAGGAACATGACTGTCTTAGTCTTCCTAAAGTATCTTTTAGGCTTTCCAAATTGTCTGATGGCTATTTATTTGAACTTAAGTGCAATAGTTGCTTTTATTGGAGAGATGCTGAGCGTCTGAGGTTGCAGTAATTATTTATGTACTCCTAAAGTTTTTTTAAATAACAACTTTATTGAGTTATAATTCTCTATTTAAATTAAAAAGTCAGTAGTTCTTAGTATATTCATACAGTTCTGCAGCTATCTCTATAAACAATTTTAGAACATTTTCATTACCCCGCAAAGAAACTCCAAGCCCATTTGCAGTCACCCCCCATTTCTTTCCAGCCGCACCCCTCCTCTCCGACCCTAGCCCTAGGCTACCACTAACCTACTTTCTGTCTTTATAGATTTGCCTCTTCTATGTGTTTCATATAAATGGGATCATACAATATTTTGTGTTTTGTGACTGGCTTCTTTCACCTAGCTCTGTCAAAGCACATTTTTTGCAAGCGCTTTAACTTTGGTGGTAATGTTACAGATTTAAGGATTCAAAACCAAATATTCCCTGTCTGCTGACACAGAAACTACAACCTGTGCTGGGACCAGAGAAAATAGCAAAACGACCAGTTACTAAGTGTGTTTGTAGAACAGGGAGTGAACTTTGAAGCTTTCATAAAATAAAACCACCCTAGTACTAATCCACCAGTGCATTCAGTACATGTGATTGCGTAATTGTTTTACCGCACCTTTCCAGAGTATTATCCTGTTTTTCCCTCGAATTTCTTGCAGCTCTTAGAAGTCGTTTCTGATTCTTCCCTTTCTTTTACTTTTGCTCTGATCTGTGACCAAGCTTTATCATTTTTTTCCCTTTGAATTGATTTTTTTAGCTTTTGCTCTTAGTTTTATTGTCACTGTCTTAGAGTGGACCTTGACCCCTGTATCTAAGCGGCTGTATCTAGGCTTAGGCCTCCTTTCTGACCCGTTTGACTCCCGCTGTCCCATTCTCCAGGCCATCTTGTCTGATCATTCTTTCTAAGGGACCACTTAGTTACATGTGCCACCCTGGAGGAACTCAAGTGGCTCTAATACTTTGCTACATCAAAGTCATACTTTCCTGCTTGCTTTTACGACATTCCTATTTGGTCTCTCCATTTTTGGCCTCTACCAGACTATGTCTCTGCCTTCCTATGCTAGGACTTTGCTCTGTCCTCTTCCGTCCTATTCTGATTTTCGAAAAATCTTCAGTTCGTTTTCAGTTTTAGTTATATTTAATTCAAAAAGTATGGAGGCCAGGTGCGGTGGTTCACACTTGTAATCTCAGCACTTTGGGAGGCTGTATCAGTCTCTTCTCACACTGCTAATAAAGACATACTTGAGACTGGGTAATTTATAAAGGAAAGAGGCTTAATGGACTCACAGTTCCACATGGCTGGGGAAGCCTCACAATCATGGCAGAAGGCAGATGAGTAGCAAAGTTACGTCTTACATGGCAGCAGGCAAGAGAGCATGTCCTGGAGAACTCCTCTTTATAAAACCATCAGATCTCATGAGACTTATTCACTATCACAAGAACAGCATGGAAAAGACCAGCATCCATGATTCAATTATCTCCCACCGGCTCCCTCCCATGACACGTGGGAATTATGGGAGCTACAATTCAAGATGAGATTTGGGTGGGGACACAGCCAAACCGTATCAGAGGCTGAGATGGATGGTTCACTTGAGCCTAGGAGTTGGAGACCAGCCTGGGCAACATGGTGAAATCCTGTCTCTACAAAAAATAAGCTAGGCATGGTGATGCATGCCTGTAGTCCCAGCTGTTCAGGAGGCTGAGATGGGAGGATCGCATGAGGCCAGGAGGTCGAGGCTGCAGTGAGCAGAGATAGTGCCACTGCACTCCAGCCTGGGCAGCAGAGTGAGACCATGTCTTAAAAAAAGAAAAATGTATGTGAAATCTACTAATTTCCTCATTTGTTGCTTTATCACTCTTATACCCTTCCCTGCATATGGTACTCCTTATCAGTATCTTGTCTCCCTTTTCCCTCTGGGCACCAGCCCCTGAACACTAGTTTTATCCCTGTCTTTCTCATCCTTCAAGACCCACCTTCTTCATTGATGTCTTGCTGGTTACCATAACACACCCTGATTTCTCCCTTCTCTGACATGTTGTTGTATTGTGTTGCGCACTTAAAGAGCCTAGCACTTAATGATTAATGCATAGTTCATCAAGGGTGTTTAGCCTGGAGAAAACTCAGAGGGGCATCATCCTTTGTCGCAGGAGTCAAAAGTCCATCAAGTGGAAGGAGGAGAGGTTACCTTTTGTCTTCTCAGGCCTCACAGGACAGAACCAATGAGTAGAGTAAATACAGATATTTGAGTAAACATTAGAAAGGACTTTGCTGGTCCAGGTGCTTGCAGTTGTGATAGGCTGTGTCCCATCGTTGGAGGCCCTAATGCATAAGGCTGGATCATTTCTGGACAGGGTCATTGTAAAGGGCGTTCACATGATTCACATGGGCTCAGTTACACTAGTGATTATCTGTCTCGAGTGTCACAGTCATCCGGGGGCATTTAAATACACAGATTCTCAGCCTCCACCTTGAGAGTTTAGGTTGAGCAGTCTGTGAAGCCAGGCTTGGAAAGTTTTGAATTAGGTGGCTCTTTTAGTCCTGAGATCCTATGAGGCTCATTTGGTTACTAGATTTTTATTTATTTTATTTTTATTTATTATTATTATTTTTTGAGACAGAGTCTCACTTTGTTGCCTAGGCTGGAGTGCAATGGTGTGATCTCGGCTCACTGCAACCTCCGCCTCCTGGGTTCAAGCAATTCTCCTTCCTCAGCTTCCCGAGTAGCTAGGATTACAGGTGTGCACCACCACACCCGGCTTCTTTTTGTATTTTTAGCAGAGATGGCGTTTCACCATGTTGGCCAGGCTGGTCTTGAACTCCCAACCTCAAGTGATCTGCCTGCCTTGGCCTCCCAAAGTGCTGGGATTACAGGTGTGAGCCACTGTGCATGGCCAGATTACCAGATATTTATTGAGTGCCTGTATTATATGGCAATATAAAGTTTTTGGTTTTTGCCTTCATGGAGCATAGAGTCAAGGGAGTAATGCAGACAGAGAGCTGAAACCATGTGATTTCTCCTCAGGTAGGTATAGATTCTCTGAGGATAGAGACCATTTCTCTTTTTTTCATGGTTCTTTATTTGCCCCAGAGGAATGGGCACTTTGGGATTCCTTCTTGACTGGCAAGATGATTAACCCGATGTTTACTGACAAGCCCTCCTTGTGGTAGGGCTTAGTACTATGTTCTTTATCTAAGTGTTTTCTTTACTTTTCTTTCTTTCTTTTTTTTTTTTTTGGGACAAAGTCTCGCTCTGTAGGCCAGGCTGGAGTGCAGTGGCATGATCTCGGCTCACCGCAACCTCCGCCTCCTGGGTTCAAGTGATTCTCCTGCCTCAGCCTCCCGAGTAGCTGGGATTACAGGCACTCACCACTTCACCCGGCTAATTTTTTGTATTTTTAGTAGAGACAGGGTTTCACCATGTTGGCCAGGCTGGTCTTAAACTCCGGACCTCAGGTAATCCGCCTGCCTCAGCCTGTAAAAGTGCTGGGATTATAGGCGTGAGCCACCGTGCCAGGCCTATCCAAGTGTTTTCATACAACTTAATGTCTTGGTTGAGAAGGAGCCACTCTATCTTCATTTGTTTCATGGCAGGTTCTGGCTTTAGATTTTGTTGCTTCCTGGTAATTAATGTCAGCTATCATTTATTGAGTAACCACTGTGTCAGGCACTTTGTGTCACATTATTGCTAATCTTTATAAACAAGCCTGTGAGATAGACATTAGGACTCTGTGGGAGCCAGGATATTGAGTTCCTGTTACAGAATTTCTGCTTCTCTTAACATAGATTGTAGCAGCTACTGAGTTGAGGCGTTATCTAATGCAGTCATCTGTTGGGACCAGAGTAATTGCAGTCATATTTTGGCTGTGTGCATAAAGCATATTTTGTTGGGAATGCCAGAAAGCCTGTCTGCTTATAATAGGTAGCTATGACCACCACCCTGTTAAACTTATAATTCGTTTTAAACACTATGCTGTACTGATAATAAAAGATTTTCATCTGTTTCTCCAATGAAAGGCTGATCTTGCTACTATAGTTTTAAGCATGGTATATGGTTTATTATTCATTCATGTTGTGCCCAAATGGAAAGTCAGGGACTGTTTTTTTTTTCGTATCTTTAACAATGATCTGGATTTCACAGAGTTGGTGTGTGACCCATTTGGTGGTTTCTTTTTCTTATCTGTTGTAGGACTTTGGCCTGTCACGGTGTCGGCCCTAGTGCCCAGTTAGTAATGACCATAAATATCTTTTGCTGAACAACACCAGTGAATTCATTCTGTGTTAGGTTCTTTACTTATTCCATCTCATTTTATCCTCATGAAATTCCTGAAAAATAGGTATTATCAACATTTAACAGATGTAAGGAAACTGAGAAAGGCTAAATAACTTGTCTAGCTTTCAGTTGCTTCCCTAGCTTTCCGATGCTCCCCTAGTTTTCCGATGCTCCCCTAACTTTCTGATGCTCTCCTGTTTACCTGAGGAGACTCAGGCGTGGTTTGCATAAGAGTTAATACCATTTCTTTTTCTTTCCCTCATTTCTTCCTATTGTAGGCTTTACTGAGAAAAATTTGATGTTACCTGAGGTCAGGAGTTACCATCCTGGCCAACGTGGCGAAACCCCATCTCTACTAAAAAAATACAAAAAATTAGCCAGGCATGGTGGTGCATGCCTGTAGTCCCAGCTTTTCAGGAGGCTGAGGCAGGAGACTTGCTTGAACCCGGGAGGCAGAGGCTGCAGTGAGCTGTGGTTGCACCACTGCACTCCAGCCTGGACAACAGAGCGAGACTCCGTCTCAAAAAAAGAAATAAAAGTTAAGTGGTATATAAGTGAACTTTCAGGAGGTGAAGATGTACTAGTATCTCTGACACCTAGAGAAAAGTCATGGATAGTGTATTTAAAGTAGTGCTTGTCATTGAATGTCCTTTCTGGCCAACAGAACTTACTGAGATGTGGGGAGCAACTTCCACAGTGGGCTGACACCTGCCGAGGGAAGTCCAAGGCCCGGGATTGCAGATGCTTTTAATATGAATAGCTAGGTGAAATGTGAATATATATAGTTAGGTGAAATAAATGTAAATCTTCACTAAGTTTGTAATAACCACAGAGTTTTTTCTAGTAAGAACATCTTCACGTTACTTCCCAACTTGAGCAAGACAGGAAGCTTGAGACATTTATTTTTTGGGGTGAAATGCTTTCTTTTTCATCTTGCAGCATGGATTGTGCAATTGTCATCTTGTCCTTGACTTCTGCCTATTGCCCTAAAATTATCGGGCTGTCATCAAGTCAGCATCTGCTTTGTTTTGAAATACATGTCTTTTAAGAGGCTGGAGGCATATTAGAAATATACAGATTTTTTTCTCCCCAACTTTTGTTTTAGATTCAGTGGTACAGGTGCAGGTTTGTTACGTGGGTATGTTGTGTGATGCTGAGGTTTGGGCTTCTAATAATCTCGTTATGCAGGTACTGAGCATCGTACCCAACAGTTAGTTTTTCAACTCATCCCTCCCTCTCTCTCTCCCCTCTCTAGTAGTTCCAGTGTCTATTATTGCCATTCTTATGTCCGTGAGTACCCAGCGTTTAGCTCCCAATTATAAGTGAGAACATGTGGTATTTGCTTTTTCTTTTCCTGCTTTAATTTGCTTAGAATAACGGCCTCCAGCTGTATCCATGTTGATGCACAGGACATGATTTTACTCTTTTTTTGTGGCTGCATAGTGTTCTGTGGTGTATATGTACCATATTTTCTTTATCCAACCCACTGTTGATGAACACCTCCTTTGATTCCATGTCTTTGCTGTTGTGAATAGTGTTGTGAGGAACGTGTGAGTGTATGTGTCTTTTCAGTAGAATGACTTGCTCTTCTCTTCTTTTTTTTTGGAGACAGGGTCTCACTTTGTTGCCCAGGCTGGAGTGCAGTGGTATCATCTCTGCTTACTGCAACCTCTGCCTCCTGGGTTAAAGTGATTCTCCCATTTCAGCCTCCCGAGTAGCTAGAACTGTTGTTGTGCCCCACCATACCTGGCTAATTTTTATATTTTTTGTAGAGATGGGGTTTTGCCTTGTTGCCCAGGCTGGTCTCAAATTCCTGGATTCAAATGATCCACCTGCATTTTTGGGGGCCATTTTTTGTCCCCCAAAGTGCTGGGATTAGAGATGTGAGCCACCGTACCTGGCCTGTTTTCCTTTGGGTATATACCTAGTAGTGGGATTGCTGGGTTGAATGTAGCTCTGTTTTAAGCTCTTTGAGAAATCTCCAAACTGCTTTCCACAGTGGCTGAACTAATATACATTCCCACCAACAGTGTATAAGAGTCCCCTAGAAATATACAGATTTTTAAAGAGATGTTGATGGAAGTGAAGTTAATTGAAAATACCGAAAATACAAGTGTAAGTTCAGTCTTGGCTTTTCCAAGTATTCATCTAGGAAGCATGTTCAGTTGATCAGACAGAAATGAAATTGCTGGTAAAGTTCTTGTAGTTAACTTAGATTATGATGGGAAAGGAGTACTTTTTTTATACCTGAACTTTTCTATTGAGTTTTGGACTGTGTATGTTTTTTGAATCCAGTATACCCACTTTAAACCTTACGTACAGCTCATTTCTCCAAACCAAATATTTGAGATTTCTCTTTCATGTTTATAAATCCTCAAGATTTTTGCTTTGGTTTATTAGATAAGGATTTTTGGTGGTATAATAACTAGGTTGGGTGGTTTTATCTTAATCTCTCGTTTGCTTTAATATTTAGTTTTATTTAATCTCCTAAGAACGAAGATTAATTTTAAAAAGGATTGTTAAACTTTCGTGGCCAAAGAAGGCCACGATGTGCCTTCTAAATGGCAGAGAGCTCCAAAATTATTTAATGAATTCCACTCCTGGTGCACTCATTTATAGCAAGATGTGCAAGGACCTTAGCCTATTTATCATCCTGTTCTTGGTTTACCATTGCAACAATAAATCACCTTGATTGGTTCACCTTGACTTCACGTTACAGACTTTTCATGTTGACCTGCTTAAGAGTGTTTGAAAGCTACCTTTTAAATAATGTCCTATAACCACAATAATCCAACAGTATTGAGGACATGCCACCCTCAAACCTTGGTCCACCCACCATCAATCCACAAAGTCCGTTTCTAAATATTACCTAATATTCATCATCCACTCAGCAAATACTTTTTGAGCTGTTTCATGTCAGGCGCTGGCTGTGGATGAGCTATGTATTTCGTAGATAACACTGCAGTTCTGTTCTCAGGATGCTTCCAGCTAGTTGGGAATTCAGGAAGAATAGAGAAAAATATCTTATCAGGAGATGAAGGAAATAATTTAAATGTACCGTCTTTGATATTTTCCTCTTTGTATTATGGAAGCAGTATATAAGACTTCGTGGAAAATTTGGAAAATACAGGAAAGTATGAGGAAGAAAAATGTCATCCATCATTCTGCCACCCAAGAATAACCACTGTTACTACTTTCATGTTTCTTGTCTTTAAAAAATGGCTTCTAAAAACAAGCAGAACAGAGCTCTGTCCAGTAAAAGGCTTTAAGGTGAAATTTGATGAGGGAAAGGAAAAAAAGGCCCCCAGAAATGTTTCTGCTGTTGTGGGGGACCATGCTGTGGAAGCAGCATCTTGGGGAAGGGATGTCTGGGAGTTCTCAGGAAGAAAGTATCAGGGAACAAAACCAAGAACAGTGTTTACCTTAGATTTCCAAGTTACAAGTGTGTTGTGTTCTAAAACTTGATGAGGTGGTAATTGGCATTCCAGATGCTTTTCTCAGATACTAATCTATGCTAGATGAGTAAATGGAGTCTTCCCTCTAGGACAGAATATGCGAGATGATTTTTAGATTGCAGTGTCCACTGCGTGTCCACGGTTTAAGGTTTGGAGAATTTATAATAGGAGAAGCAAGGAAAAAACATTTTTTTTGAAGGGTCTCTTAGGTACTAGCACTTTTTTTGAAGTCAGTGTTTCATTTAATGTTCATAGCAAACATTTGAAGGAAGTATTTCCCTCATTTTTGTAGTTCAGATTTAGGAATTGGATTTAATTGCTTGTTTACAGTCATAGTGTTTCATATTAAGTGGTAGGGGCACATGCAGGCTTTGGAACCAGAGACCTGGGTTCCGCCCTACCACAGTGATCTCAGACAATTCCTCAACCTCTTTCTTAATTTTTAAAAGGAAAAGATGATGATGCTTAACTCAAGGTTATTATAAAGATGAAATGAGACAATGTATATAGCACCCTTCCCACAGTTTAGATTTAGGATCAATGAGTGAGAGCTTTTAGTATGTCACTTGTAAGGCAGCAGGCCCAGTGCCTGACATATAGTAGATGTCCAATAGATGTTGGACCCAGGGCTTCTTACAAGCCCTCCCAACTTTTCAGGTTTTTAAAAATTTCTCTATCTGTCTGTCTGTCTGTCTGTCTATCGAGAGAGATGGGGTCTCAGTCTGTTGCCCAGGCTGGAATGCTGTGGTGTAATCTTGGCTCACTGCAACCGCTGCCTCCTGGGCTCAAGTGATCCTCTCACTTCAGCTTCCTGAGTTGCTGGGACTGTAGGTGTGCGCCACTATGCCCAGCTAATTTTTTGTATTTTTTGGTAGAGACGGACGGGGTTTTGCCACGTTACACAGGCTGCTCTCCAACTGCTGAGCTCAAGTGATCCGCCAGCTTCAGTCTCCCAAACTGCTAGGAGGTGTCGTGAGCCACTGTGCCTGGCATGCCAACTTTTCAATTTTTTCTAGTGTCTTTCTCTTGGATTTTGAAGGACCTTAATGGAAAGATATATTTCATTTGAATTATCATGGTGGATTCTTGGATTTGTAAAATAAATGTCATCTGCACTGCACAGGAAAATTCCATCTCATCAGTAGTTTTCTTTGAAAGGTCATCCTGAACATTTTCCCCTGGGTGTCTGGGGAAGGCTAAGGGTAGGAAGGCTAAGAGCCCAGGTGGGAGTGGGGGAGAAGGAGAGCAGGAGGAGTCAATTTGGGTATTTTCCTGGCGTAGTTTGCTACCTACCCACCTTAGTAAGGACTGTACTATGGCCATGTGTGACTGGGATTGTAATGGAGCAGAGGTTAAGAGGGCACTGTGTGGGAGACGGGTACTATGTGGAAGATATTTGGTTCTCCGTGCATACTCATGCTCTTTCATGCACTTATTCAGTCATCAGACAGTTGTTGACGCTTTCCTATATGCAGTGCACTGTGCCAGTCCTTTGGGATTCAAAGGATGTCCTCACCTCTGTAGGATTAAGCCAAGTTGATAGACAAGTAACAGAAAGTTACAGCTCAGTTTTAAGTGCCAAGTTAGAGGGAAGCTGGGGGAGCTTTGCCAAAGCATATTAAAATTATTTTTCTGTATTTGCTTCATTAGACCTTGAAGGCCAGGACTATGTCTTTGCAACTTGATTTTTCCCACAGCTTACTCTTTTTTTTTTTTTTTTGAGATGGAGTCTCGCTCTGTCGCCCAGGCTGGAGTGCAGTGGCGCGATCTTGGCTCACTGCAAGCTCTGCCTCCCGAGTTCATGCCATTCTCTTGACTCCTGAGTGGCTGGGACTACAGGCGCCCGCCATCACTCCCGGCTAATTTTTTTGTATTTTTAGTAGAGACGGGGTTTCACCGTGTTAGCCAGGATGGTCTCCACCTCCTGACCTCGTGATCCGCCTGCCTCGGCCTCCTAAAGTGTTGGGATTACAGGCGTGAGCCACTGCGCCTGGCACCCAGAGCTTACTCTTATATGCATCCCTGAATAAATTTGTATAATTTATTATTATTATTTTTTGAGATGGAGTCTCTGTTGCCAGGCTGGAGTGCAGTGGCACGATCTTCGCTCACTGCAGCCTCCGCTTCCCGGATTCAAGCAATTCTCCTGTCTCAGCCTCCCGAGTAGCTGGGACTACATGCGCTTGCCACCACGCCCAGCTAATTTTTGTATTCTTAGTAGAGATGGGGTTTCACCATGTTGGCCAGGATGGACTTGATCTCTTGACCTCATGATCTGCCTGCCTCGGCTTCCCAAAGTGCTGGGATTATAGGTGTGAGCCACCGCACCCAGTCAAATTTGTATAATTTTTAACCTGACACAGAGACAAGGTAGTTTATAAATGGTGTGTTTAAACTATATGTGTGGAAATCTCAACCCTGTAACTGGAGACATCTGATAAGTCTTAGACTTACTGATAATTTCATTTTTAGAAGGTAGAGGTGGAAATTTGACTAGTTAATTCATGCTGAGAACTTTGGGTGAAACTGGCTATTTTATTCTGGGGTTTCATCCTGATGGAAGTTGTGCAAGACCCTCTTGCACATGAGATTTTTAGAAAGGTGTCTCATGAAGCTCAGAGCAAAGATGGTATTACCTCCAAGGCCAGCAGAACTGTAGAAGAGAGTATGGTTTCATCGAGATGTGTGGGGAGCGCCAAGAAACAAAAATTGTGATTGTATGATTGCAAGTCATGATGGTAAGCAAAAGCGGGGATGGCTTCTAAAGAAGTCAACAAAGTGTTCAGGGTCATTGGAAAAGAAGCCAGATTTTAAAAAAGATTATTGAGATATAATTCACACATTATACAGTTAGCCCATTTAAAGTGTACAATTTAGTGGCTTTTAATGTATTCACAGCTGTGTGTAACCATCACAACAATTTTAGAACATTTTCATTACCTCAAAAATAAATTTCATGCACGTTAGTTATCACCCTCCTGCCTATCTTTCTATCTCCCTAGCCCTAAGCAACCACTAACCTACTTTCGGTCTCTATTGATTTGTCTGTTCTGGATGTTTCATGTAAATTTAAGCAATATGTAGTCTTTTTTTTTTTTTTGAGACAGTCTTGCTCTGTTGCCCAGGCTGGAGTGCAGTGGTGTGATCTCGGCTCACTGCAGCCTCTGCCTTCCAGGTTCAGGCGATTCTCCTGTCTCAGCCCCCCGAGTAGTTGGGATTACAGGCACACGCCACTACGTCTGGGTAATTTTTTTTTTTTTCGTATTTTTAGTAGAGATGGGGTATCACCGCGTTGGCCAGGCTGGTCTTGAACTCCTGACCTCAAGTGATCCACCTGCCTCGGTCTCCCAAAGTACTGGGGTTACAGACATGAGCCACCATGCCCAAACAAAATGTAGTATTTTGTGACTGGCTTCTAATAATGTTTTCAGGGTTTGTACATGTTGTAGCATATATCATACTTTATTTCTTTGTCTTGTCAAGTAATATTCTATTCTAATAACATTTTGTTTTTTTCTGTTCATCAGTTGATGGACACTTGGGTTTTTCTACTTTTTGGCTATTAAGAATAATGTTGCTTTGCAGGTGTAAGTTTTAACGTGCACATATGTTTCCATTTTTTCTTGGATATATACCTAGGAGTTGAATTGTTGACTTATATAGTAACTCTATGCTTAGTAACTCTAAACAATCCGGGCTTTTGAGGAACTGCCGGACTGTTTTCCAAAGTGGCTGTACCATTTTCCATTTCCACGAGCAGTGTATTAAGGTCCCAGTTTCTCCACATCTTTGCCAACACTTGTTACTGTATGGCTTTTCTTTTTATTTTTGCTGTCATAATAGGTGTGAATGACTTTTATTTCCTTAATGACTAATGATGGTGAGCATCTTTTTATGTGTTTGCTGGCCATTTGTAGATCTTTGGAGAAATGTCTGTTTACATTTTTTGCCCATTTTAAAGTTAAGGTTTTTGTCTTTTTTTGTTGAGTTGTAAATATTCCTTATGTATTTTAGATACAGATCTTTTATTAGATTTGCAAAATGTTTCACTCTGTGGGTTGTCTTTCTATTCAGGAGGCCAGACTTTAAGTGGAATACAAAAGAGAAAAGGGCATGTAGTAAGCATGAAAACAAAAGAATAGGCCGAACTGCTACAAATATTTTAGACAGAGTATACCTAGGGTGACCTGTGGCTTGCAGGAAAAAAATTTGAAATTACCACAGTGATTTAAAAAAATTTTTGGAAGTATAATCCACATCAAGTATGCAAACTGTAAAGGTACAGCTTGATAAATGATCACAAAATGCATACACACATGTAACCACCATGCAGGGTCAACACAGAGACTATTACCAGCCCCCACAAAAGCCATCTTCTGCACCTTTGCAATCATTAGCCCTCCTGCACCCCAAAGATAACAGCTCTTTTGATTTCTGTCACCATTGATTAGTTTTTATATATTTTTTGAAATTTGTAGAAATGGGATTTTACAGCATGTTTTCTTTTGTACCTGGTTTATCTTGCCTAACATGTAAAATTTATCCATGTATTTCCTGTAGTTCATTTTCTTTAGTCAATAGTTTTCCGTTGTATCAATATCCAACTCTTTATACTGTCTTCTTTTGATGGATGTTTGAGTTTCAGTTTTCAACTTCTGGTCATTAGGCCCTTTCTTGCATGCATGTTGAGGTGCACATGGGGCATGCCTTCCCATTAGATGTATGTCTAAGAGTGGACTTGCTGTGTCATAAAGTGTATCTGTGTTCCGCTTTATTAAAGTGTATGCAAATTAGTTTTTAAGCTTTAAAACAAAGTGATAACTAAAAAGAGGCTAAACCCACTGTTTAATTTTAACAAAAGGGATTTCAGAGTAATTCACTCCTTTTTCTTAGTATCTTTTATGGTAGGAAAGTATTTTTCAGACAGAGAAGGGTAGAATATGAAAGATGAGAGTAAAGCAAACAAGTTCTTACTCACTTAAAATAAATAAGAATCTCCAGGCTGAAATGGATTCTTCCCCAGGATACTGAAAACTCTACCATTAATTTGAGGAACCGCAGTTGGGAAACTTCGAGAACTGATAAGGTGAGAGAAGCTCTTACAGGGGCAAAAAGATGATACCTTTTCCTCATCCACCGCAAGGGTTGTGGTCAGTACTACTGTTAGCAAAAGACAGGTTAGCAAGAAAGAAAATATCACAGATTTGTTTAACAAAGTTATATATGACGTGGGAGCTTTCAGAAATGAAGACTCAAAGACCCAAGGAAAACTTTCTATGCTTACATTTGATGGAGAATCATGGCCATGTAGTAATGTGATTGCACAAAAAGGGAATGATCTAATGGTAATAAACTGAGAGGGGAACCCAGCAAGGCCTGTCCAGATTCTTCTCAGCCTCTCTGTGTTGAGCATTACTTTTCTGCTGGGTGTGGGGCAGAACCCTTCTGGAATAAGGGTCTTATGATCTATTTTCAGGTAAGATGGGTCGGAGAATTCCTTTATGACCATGCTTCACATAGAAGGCAGGGGAAGTGACCTTGTTTCTGGGCCCCCTCCAGTTTCCTTCAGTTCAGAATCCTTTGGGGGTAATGTATTCTGAGCCCTGACACTCCTGAAATCTGAAGGTTTACGTCAGTGTTTTCATTTGTTTTCCCTAAAGAAAGGAAATAGATTTTTTTTTCCTAGAGAAAGGAAACTAGAAAAAGTTTCATGTGACTTTCTGACAGAATTTTAGTATAGGTTTAAACAGGTGATTTGATAGCATGAGAGAAAAAGGTAGTGGTTACCAGGAGCCAGGATGGTTTCAATATTACAAAAAACATTCACTGGGTTTCTAATTCCTGTGGGTTCCTGGTACTCCTGCTGCCGGAGGAACAAAGGTGAATGTCAAGTTCTGAATTTAGGAGGTCAGCTTGTAGCTAGTATCCTTAGTGCATTTCCTTGCACATATTTTTTGATGGCCCAAGAGTGGGGGAAGCAGACGCATTAGTAAGTAATCCCCAAATATAGGCAGAGTGCCTAGGAACCTGGTTAAGGAGTGCTCTTGTGACACTGGGGAGGATGTGGAGAATAGGACATCTTTTGAAGAGGTGATACTGCTTCTAAAATCTGAAGAGACTAAGGGAAAATAGAGTAGGGTGGGGAGGGCAGGCAGGTGCTGAGGCTTGGTTATAAGAGCATTTCTGCTAGATGGAGTAAAGTGATTATGAAAAAACTTTTTAGAAGTGGGAGGTCTCGAACTCCTATTCGTGATCACAGACCTCGTGATCTGCCTGCCTTGGCCTCCTAAAGTGCTGGGATTATAGGCGTGAGCCACCGCGCCTGGTTAATGTGGTGAAACCCCGTCTCTACTAAACACACACACACACACACACACACACACACAATTAGCTGGTCATGGTGGTATGTGCCTGTAATCCCAGCTACTCGGGTGGCTGAGGCAGGAGAATTGCTTGAACCCAGGAGGTGGAGGTTGTAGTGAGCCGAGATCGCACCACTGCATTCCAGCCTGGGCGACAGAGCAAGACTCTTTCTCAAGACAAAACAAAAAAAAGTGGGAGGTATTGCCACTGATTGGCCTTACCCGATTGGCCACTGATTGCCACCGATTGGCAAAACCTAGTGAGGTTTTGCCTATTATGCTAAGGACTTGGGGCTTTTATACGCCTAGGGGAGCCCTGGAAAGATTTTAAATATCCAGGGAGCAGAATGATCAGATTTGCATTGAAAAAGTTTGCTCATAATGTGGAAAATGTACTGATCTGGGTCCGGGGACATAGGAAACTCTTACAAGAGTGAAGTTAGGGATTGCAGTGGTCCTAAGTCCCCCAGAGGGACTTAGGAGAGACTAAAATAAGTCATTCTGTGCTAATCTTGTTTTCCTTTAAAGATAGATTCTGAAAAGTTTAAATAGGTTATTAGTTAGGGGAATGCTGTCTTTTGATTTCAACGGAATATTTAGTTTAACAAAAGGCTGTCCTTATGAACAAGATGGGAAAATGTGATATGGGTATTAGGTGGATTTGTAGCTTGTTGAATAGTAGATTTGATGGATCTGCACAAGCTGGAAGAGAAGCATTTTGTCCTGTGCTGTTGCGCTCTGTATTTGATTTCTGTGGGTTACAACTTTGATCTGTGAAATAGTTTTATTGTTAACAAATTTATATGTGAAGTTAGAAAGGTAAGGTAGTTGACAAATTACTTTTCAAGTTTAAAATATGCCTTTATAAAATTTCAAAGAGGTGAAATTGGTTGTAGGGGTTGTGGGGGCAGAAATGCTACTCTTTAGGTTGCAAGTACAGTATAATTACATAAACAGATAAATAGTTTTTCTGTGATACTAAAATTTCATGGGAGAGGGTGATTAAGAAAAAATGCCTAAAAAGTCTCTTTAGGGGTGCAGTGATGGAAAAAAGTTGAGAACCACAGGTTTAAAAGAAAGCTGTTGAAATGGCTAGCCAAAACTTGGAATACATGGAGATAGTTGAAAATTTCTACATTTAGGACTCAACACTAAAGGTACCATGATAGGTTGGGAATATTTCATGATTTATGTTTATGTGAAGGAAAAAAATGGAATTAAATCCCTTTGTTACTTTTATTTGCTTCTAAACTCAGTATGAGTCAGTAGGGTGGATATGACTGAGAGAAAGGTTAATGCAGCCTTAGCTTTCATTTATAAAATTAGGTGTAAATAGAATTCAGAGTGTAAGAGTTTCCTGTATGGTTTCCTAATACGGTTTATTATTACCATAAACTGATCAGAACCTGATCTGGAACTTGGAAGATGAGAAGTCTCAAAACCATGTTGAGAAGCGTTATTCAGACAGAACAACAACCAACTTATTGTTTAAATATAACAAGACAACTGTAAGAATTTATGGCTTGAATCCACAAACATAATTAAACAATTAAATTGGGCAATGCTGTATAATTAATAGATTAATTAAATCTATATTGAGTGCCTACTATCTTCCAGGTGTTATTCTAGCTACTGGGGACTCTGTACTCAGCCAACTGGACAAAATATCTGTGTTCATGGAACTCACAGGTTAGTGGATGGAGCCAGACAGTAAACAACATAAGTTTGTAAAATATATCTAGTATGTGAGATAGTGTGCTAGGTATTAACAAGTGTGCCAGAGGAAAAATAAGTAGAAAAGGAGTATGATAAACAGTGAGACTGGTGGAAATATTAGAGTGGCCAGAGAAGGCCTCATTGAAAAGGTGATTTTTTTAAAAACATACTTTATATTGTAGTGTAACAAATACAGAAAAGTGCAGAAAGCACAAATGTACCATGGGATGAATTTTCTGTCTTTTTCTTTTTGAGACAGTCTCACTCTGTTACCCAGGTTGGAGTGCAGTGTTGTGATCATGGCTCACTGCAGCCTCCCTGGGCTCAGGTGATCCTCCCACCTCAGCCTCCTGAGTAGCTGGGAGGGTTGAATTTCTGCGAAGTGAATACACTTGTGTAATCAGCACTCAAATTAAGAAACAGAATTTTAACTGCCCCTTAGGAGGTCTGGTTACCCCCCCTCCTAGTTGAAGCCTTGCTTCCTGAGGACTCACACCATAGGTTACTGTTGCTGGTTTGTGAGCTTTATATTAATGTCATAATGTATAATATATTCTTTTGTTTCTGGCTTCTTTTACCAACATTGATTTGGTGAGATCCATCTATGCTCTTACAAGTATTTGTAGTTTATTCATTTTTGTTGCTGTAGAGTATTAAATTGTATCATGATACCACAGTTTACTGTCTTCTGTCTCTAGCTAATGAGTAGCCCTGCAGCAAACATGCTTGTATATTTCTTTTTAGTGATGCCATCTACAGGGGATATAATTAGAAGTGGAATTGCCAGGTTATAGGATATGTGTACATTCACTTTGGTAGATACTGATAAACAGTTTTCTAAAGTGATTATATTGATTTGTATACCTATTAATGGCATGTGAGAGCTCCACAGACATGTCAAGATTTGGCATCTCCTGCCATTTAACTTTAGCTGTTCCGGTAGTTGTGTAGAGATGTTCCATTGTGGAAGACTAATGCATTTAAGCACCTTTTCATATTTATTGGCCATTTTGAACCACTTTTTGGTGTGATGGAAATGTTCTGTATTTTCATTGTGTTGTGGTTAAATGACCATATACATTTGTGGAAACCCACAGAAAAACTGTACACTAAAAAGAGTGAATTTCACCATATGCAAATTATATGTCAATAAATAAAATGACTAAATACCACATTCATTATTGATTTATAGAAATTTTAAAAATATATTCTAGATGAGTTCTCCATTGTATATGTGTATTGCACATCTGTTCTTCCACTTGCTGGCTTGCCTTTTCAGCTCTCTTAATGGTGTCCTGTTTTAAGAAATTTTAGTTTATCTCAAGGTCACAAAGATAAGGATGAATTTCACGTAACCACTTGAAGAAGTAAGGTCACTAATCATACAGGTGTCTGACCTGGAGGAGACATTTTAGACCAAAGAGGCAGCAGGTGTGAAGAACCCAAGGCCAGGTGCCTAGAAGGACATGGCTAGTAATGGAGGAGCGGAGATGAGCTGAGAGAGGCATTGAGACAGCAGGTGGGGCTTGCTGAAGAATTTCCTCTCACTGAGATGGGACTCCTGAAGGGTTTTAAGCGCAGCATTGACCTGGTCTTACCTAGGTTTTAACAGAGTCGCTAGGCTGCTGTGTTGAGAATAGCCTTTTGGGAGTGGGGCTGAAGTAGGGAGCCAGTTAAGAGGCAGTGGGGGTGGTCTGAGGGAGTGATTATGGTGACTAGACCTGGTGGTGGCAATAAATGGGGTAGTTGACTGTTGGTAGGTTTTCAATGTGAAGCTGAAGGATATACTCATGGCCTGGAACTGGGATGTGGAAGAAAGAAGAATGGCACTAGGTATTATTTTAGTATTTATTTTTATTTTTTGCCTGAGCAACTGGAAAGAGGGGAATTGGGAAGTTGGAGACGGGCAGAAGGTGCAGAAGATGTGGAGTAGTGCCAGCCATCTGCTTGTATTTTACAGATGTAATCTTAATTTTTTTCAGCATTTTATAAAGAAAGGCCATTCGAATACCAAAAGAATAGGAAAAGACACAATTTCAAAATAAAGATCAACCATTGAAATTGGATAAATTTAGCCTTATGAAATACTCAAACAATTTTTTTTTCCCCGTTTCTCTGAGGACCTACAGATGCAGGTATTGTTTTGCAAACCAGCTTTGAGAATCACTGATTTGTGGTATTATGCATGTATCCTTTGATGTTGATACTATTAACAAATGAGCATCATATCCTTAATCTTGCAATAAGATTGCGATTAGAGTCTAAACATGATAAACGAAAAATTAAAGTAGGCCGTGTGTCATTTCTGGCCTAGAGATACTTCATTTGTTTCTTTTTTTTTTTTTTTTGAGATGGAGTCACGCTCTGTTGCCCACGCTGGAGTGCAGTGGCCATCTTGGCTCACTGGAATCTCTGCCTCCCAGGTTCAAGTGATTTTCCCTCTTCAGCCTCCTGAGTTGCTGGGATTACAGGCGCCCGTCACCACACCTGGCTAATTTTCATATTTTTGTAGAGGGGGGGTTTCACCATGTTGGCCAGGCTTGTCTTGAATTCCTAACCTCAAGCAATCTGCCCGCCTTGGCCTCCCAAAGTGCTGCGATTATGGGCGTGAGCCACCGCGCCTGGCCCGATACTTCATTTCTTAAAAAAAAAAAAAAGACTGTGTGTGCCAGGTGCAATCAGAGGACACATATGGTACATGTGTAGTTGTAGTAAAGCTTGAGAGTCATCGTAGTAACTACTTTGCAGACATTCTCTATGAAATTTTAAAATGTTTTTGAAGTAGCCAAGCTCTAAGTTTTCCTAAGCAAGTTGATTTGCTTTGTTCTTAGGGAAGAATATAGTTTATGTTTTAACTTTTGCATATTCCCTTTCTCCCCACCATCAGTGCTAAAGCTAAGTGCACTATAAATTGTTTGATAAAAGCCATTCAGGGAGCAGGAGGCAAGGTGAGGTACTGCGATGACAAAGGGAGAGCTTGCTGAGTGCCTGGAGACCCAGGGCCCGGGGGTCACTAACATTAGTGAGACTTGTCTTGAATCACTGTGCCGAGACAATGCATACTTGTGCTTTGGCAGAGCATTGAGATGCACTGAATCATTATCAGTGTCATTAAGGGCCTTCAGAAACGTGTAAGCGATCTTTATAAAGTTTTGCCTTTGAGTATTACCTGAAAAGTACCTTGTGTAGTTTGACAGTATTAGTCAAAGATATCAAATGTCCTTTGTAAGATTCTGTTGCCACTTTAAGGACCAGTATTATTAACCGCTGATTACTTTTTCCGTCTTTGCCAAGTAATTGTATAGGACTTAATCTTTATACCAAGAAGAGAATTTTAACATGCATAATCACTTCTCAGTGCTTCCAGTCTGCTTTTAGTATTAGATAATAGTGTCCTATTTTAGTTGCCTGATGTGTCTGTGGTTTTAACGTGATTATCTTACCCTGAGGGATGGAGGAAATCAGTGAAAAGTTCACTGCTGCTTTGTGAATTAAGTTATGCCTTGGCACGAAGTACTGATCATTTTGGCATTCAAATACGGCATTAGATCACCTTGCCTGCAGTTGGGGAATGTTCTGAAAGTGCTACCTAACACTGCAGGATTCTCCATAAACTTGAGCTGGTATAGAAAATGATGTTTATTGTATCCTCTTCTCAAATATCTTGCCAAGTTACTGTCATCAGACTCTTTATTGATAGAAAATTAGTTAGGCAAAAACCATTTTCTTCTCCTTGCATGGCAGAGGTGATGAAATTTATGAGAAAGTACATATAAGGGAAGGTTCGAAGTGTTGATTGTGAATATAAGCCCTGGCTTGAAACAAAGAATTCTTGGCTTGTATGGTGGAATGTTTTGTGTGTTGTTTTCTTTTCAATCTCAGCTCTTGTATGTGGAAATAATGAAATGAATATTTGCTATGAGTGTTGGTTGGGGTTTTTTGTTACAGATACTAAGAGTTATTCTAGTAGTGTAAGCAGCAAGTGATTTATTAAGGGTGATAGCTAGTTTAGCAGATTGGGCAGGCTGACAAAAGAGACTGTACTCTGAGTTTCTGGGAATGGTTGCCAGTTCTGCACTGTGGAACAAGCCTGCTGAGGAGCTGCTGCTACTGATAAAGTCAGGGTGCTGCAAACCAGGAACCCAAGCAAGACTCACCCCCCTTCTTCCACTTTCCCTACATAACACCGTTCTGAAGGAGCCCCATGTGGTATGTCTGGTTGGTGGAACCTAATTAACATGTCTGCTTGTATACCCCCAATTTGCTTATTTGCTTTCTTTTTTTAAATTCTATATTGGGAAGTGAGGTTTACACAGTAAGGAAGTAGTGAAAACATAACAAAGATGATTTGGGGCTCCATGAATAACAGATACTTATTACAGTATCAATTTAAAATAATATAATGTTAATTATAATTATAAGCAGTATAATAGTAATCAATAATATAAGCTTTTAAGTGAAACTTTTAAGGAAACCTACTATTTAAAAACGTACTTTTTGGGCCAGGCACGTGGCTCATGCCTGTGATCCCAGCACTTTGGGAGGCCGTGGCAGGAGGGTTACTTAAGGCCAGGAGCTCAAGACCAGCCTGGGCAACATAGCAAGACCTTGTCTCTACAAAAAAAAAAAAAAAAAAAAGCACACCTGTTGTCCTAGCTACCAGGGAGGCTGAGGCAGGAGGATCGCTTGAGCCCAGTTCAAGGCTGCACTGAACTATGATGGTGCCACTGTACTCCAGCCTGGGCAACAGAGTGAGACCATGTCTCTACAAAATACAGCAACAACAAATACTATTTCACTGAGGGATATAAAGAATATTTTATGGTTGTGTTACTTTAAAATTCTATTTAAGCTAGCAGGGGTATGTTGATAGGAAAGCCAAAGACAGAGAAATTCCAGGGTTTTTTTTTTTTAATCCTTGGTGAATACCACTGCAAGTCAAGACCCATTCTTGTGAATTTGTTTTTCTGATCAGAGAGAGTTGAGACTTATGAATCAGTTAGTATAAATTCATTAGTTATTTGAAGAATATTGAAGAATGAAATTAATATGAATCTGATGGTGGGTTAGCAGAATTACAAATCATGACATTATTATAATTTTAAAAAAATTTTATGTGTTAGAGACAGGGTCTTACTCTGGTCTCCTAGGGGGAAGTGCAGTGGCGTGATCGTAGCTCACAGCAGTCTCAAACTCCTATGCTTAAGCTTAGGTGATCCTCCCCTTCAGCCTCCCGAGTAGCTGGGACTGTGTGTCACCGTGCTTGGCTAATGTTATAATTTTTAATAGATGGCTATTTATCTGAAGTTTTTTTTTGTGTGTGTGTGAAAGAGAGTTAGCCCTATAAGGAACTTCGAAATCACATGGTCCAACACCCTGATTTTTATAGTTGAGGAAACCAAAGCCCAGGGGCTGAAGTGATTTGCTCAAGACTGTATAACTGGTTGGTGGTAAGGCCGCCTGATTTCATAGCCTATTCATTTCCCACTAAACTCTCTAGGAAAGCACAGGTTTCTCCACACTGGGAAAAGCTCCTGGATTCCCCATACTGGGATTTGAGCCCTGACGTAATAGTCAGGATGTCTTAGTGGAGTTGTTGGTTGATAACACTGGTGCTCTTTTGTTTTTTTGAAACAGGGTCTCACTCTGTCACCCAGGCTGCAGCGCAGTGGCATGATCTCCGCTCACTGCAATCTCTGCTTCCTGGGCTCAAGCGATTCTCTAGCCTCAGCCTGCCAAGTAGTTGGTACTGTAGGCATGAGCCATCAATGCCGGCTAATTTTTGTTGTTGTTGTTGAGACACAGTTTTACTCTGTCACCCACGCTGCAGTGCAGTGGTGCCATCTTGGCTCACTGCAACCTCTGCCTCCTGGGCTCAAGCAATTCTTGTGCCTCAGCCTTCCAAGTAGCTGGGATTACAGGTGCACACCACCATGCCCAGCTAATTTTTTTTTGTATTATTAGTAGAGACGAGGTTTTGTTACATTGGCCAGGTTGGTCTCGAACTCCTGACCTCAAGTGAGTGGTCCACCTTGGCCTCCCAAAGTACTGGGCCATAAGCCAGTGTGCCTGGCCTCTATTTTTTGTATTTTTGTAGAGACGGGTTTTGCCATGTTGCCCAGGCTGGTCTTGAACTACTGAACTCAAAATGATCTACCTGCCTGGACCTCCCAAAGTGCTGGGATTACAGGCATGAGCCACTGTGCCCGGCCAACACTGGTGCTCTTTTATGTTTCAAATGAATAGTGGGACATTTATTTTTGAATTTTGAGGAAAATGAATCACAGAAGTAAGAATTTTGTTCAAAATAACACTTGGGGTAAAAACACACCAAGCATACCTAATTGAAGTTGTAAGTTTCACTTGGTAAAATAAGCTGCAAAAATGGAGGGGATTTACACACAGCTCTCTTCTATTTTAGTCCTCTGGGTTGTTTATAAATTTGCTCATACATAACTCTTTTGCTAAAGCATTTGCCATTACGTGTATAGTCGGTACAAGTTAAGAATTACTAGGAAACTTCAGTCTGGCTCACTTCATCATCTCCTTCATGTCTTTGCTCAGACACTGCCTTTGTAGTGAGTCTTACCCTGACCCCGTCCTGTTTAAGACTGAGCCCACCTGCCCTCCATTCATTCCTGAATCCCTTTTTCTTAACAGCCTGTCCTTTTTCTTTGCAATAGCACTGTATTAGTCAATTCTTGCACTAGTATAAATAAATACCTGAGACTGGGTAATTTATAAAGAAAGAGATTTAATTGATTCACGGTTCCACAGGCTGTACAGGAAGCATGACAGCTTCTGGGGAGGCCTCAGGAAACTTTTAGTCATGGCAGAGGGAAGCAGGCACGTCTTGCATGGCTGGAGCAGGAGGAAGAGAGAGAGTGGGAAGGTGCTATACACTTTTAGATAACCAGATCTCGTGAGAACTTGAGAACAGCACCAAAGGGATGGTGCTAAATCATTCATGAAGGATCTACCCCTAAAATCCAGTCACCTTGCACCAGGCCCCACCTCTAACACTGGGAATTAAAATTGAACTTGAGATTTGGGTGGGGACACAGATCTAAACCATATCAAGCATGTATCCCCTCTGACCTTATGGTATGGTTTGGTTGTGTACCCACCCAAATCTCATCTTGAATTGAGGTTCTCATATTCCCCACATATTGTGGGAGGGACCCAGTGGGAGGTAACTGAATCATTGGGGCAGGTTTTTCCTGTGCTGTTCTCATGATAGTGAATAAGTCTCATGAGATCTGATGGTTTTATAAAGGGCAGTTCCCCTGCACACGCTCTCTTGCCTGCCGCCATGTAAGATGTCACTTTGCTCTTCCTTCACCTTCCGCCATGATTGTGTGGTCTCCCCAGCCATGTGGAACTGTGAATCCACTAAACCTCTTTTTCTTTATAAATTACCCAGTCTCGGGTATGTCATTATTAGCAGCATGAGAACAGACTAATACACCTTATATGTACATCTCCTCCATATAATTTGTCTATTATGGTTTCTATTTATGGTGTGTCATCTTCTTCAGTAGAGCATATGAAGGCAGGGACTTTTGTCTGTTTATATATCCCCAGGATGAAAAATAAAAAGTGCCTGCCACATAGTAGATAATAAATGTGTTGAATGAATGAACTTGGCAAAAGCAGCTGCTTTTTGGGATTCCTACTGGTAAAATGACAGATTCTCAGTCCTACTGGTTGTTTTTTTAATTGACTTAATTGAGGATGGCAAAATCATCAGTTGGTATATAAAGAAAGTAAGTGCATGAGTTGTGTTGTATACAGTTTTCTGGAACCTCCTTGCTTGTTTGGCAATAAACAGGGAACTCAGATTCAGATGAAGAGTCATGAGATTATGCAGATATTATCAATGGAACTGGTTCTTTAGATCTTAAAATCGAGAGTACTAAATGATAAAAATGCATACAGAGATTCTCAGATACAGACTTGGACATGTAGCTGATTTTTAACATAAGTGGTTTAAAAGGTTTTTGTTGTCAACATTGTGGCCCAAAAAGTTGAGTTTCAGGGTATGAGGGTACTGTGGTGATGGAGGATGGATGAGGAAGGAAGTGAAGGCATCAAGATCTCCCATCTTGTGAGAGTTGAACAGTGCTTCGGGGTCATCTAGATGTGAGAGTACATTTCTACTAATCTAAACTTTTTACAAAATGCTAAAACATGAGACAAAGCGATAACATTTAATGAAGATAAAGCTTATAATGTTCTAAAGGTTTCAGATAAGCTGATGGTAGTCTTCTATTGAGTTCTAGGGCGTAAGGTAGTTTATGAATGGTTATTTTTATTATCTAAAGATATATTTGACCTTTAGAATTCAGTGACAATAAAGATGATAGATAATGTCTTAGGAAGATATTAAGAAACCTAGAAAATACTATAGAAATCAGATATGCCAACTTTTTATATGAGCCTAAGTCCAAAGCTTACACGACCTGCCCAGTATCTATCACACAGCTAGTTAACGGCAGAGTTGGGATGAATTTTTGTCACAGATTTTCACTGAAGTATCAATAGGAGACGAATGTACAAGCCTCTCTTTGGAGATAACCCAGGGAGCAATTACGAACTTGTTTTGAGGTCTGCATTTTATCTTAAAAATTTCAAAAGTCACGCAGTTATTTCATCCTATACAAAGTATTTATGTCTTTCTCTTTTTATGTGTGTAAGTATGTGCATTATTTTAGTCTTGCAAAAATGTGCTTACTTGAGGAATTGCCTTTTGGAAGTTGAGAAAATGAACAGAATGAGAGATCACTGTTGATTATTGTCTTAGAAGAAGTGTCAGCAAATCAAAGTTTTAAAGAAACTGAAATGAGGAAATGTATCTACTTGATCTGTTCTAAAATTACATTAGAGGAAATTAATGATAGCACAGTGAAAAAAACTTAGAAAATATTTTAAACCTTAAGAAAGGATTGTTATTTATGCCATTCTTCGTAAGGGTAGTAAGACATCATATTTTGTGTCTTTTTCCTAGATGTACTGGTTTTGGCAGCAGTTTTTGAAAAGAGAGATGATTTGTATATATAGTTTATATATATTTTTTTTTCCTGAGGATAAAATTATACTGGTATGGAGAAAGACAGCAAACCTCACTGTACCCTTCCCCCTTCACTAGGGATATGATAAAGGTTTTTACTTCTTAATCTTTTATGTAAATTTTGCTTTTGCAGCACATGGTTAAATGAGATATTGATCATGCAACTGAGTTGTAACTCAATTTTAGTATACTCCAAAATGTAGTTTTCACAGTTGATAAGAAAGCAGGTGTACTATTAGGAGCACTGGGCTGGCAGTCAGGAGGTTTTGACTTAATTTTATTGGTAAAATTAAGAGTATTACAGTGGTAATGGGGTATTGGGTCTTTTTTGGCTCTACAAGCTTATGGTCTGTATTTGTTCATGATATGCTTAGTGCTTCCATACATATACTTTCTAAAATTCACATTTACAAATAGTGTGTGTGTATTTCACATTTCAGTGGCTCCATGTAACAACAGTTCCCTTGAGATGGCTATCTGAGAACCTGGGCCCCTCACTTTATCCTGGTCAACGGGTTTTCCTGTGTGACTACCAGATAAGTCATTACGTAAGAACTTGCTGTGCAGTCACTGGTGGCCTATCAAGGGCCTTTTTCTACTACGTGGGGTGAACTGTATGAGCCTTTTAGCAGTTTTTGAGAAAAAAGCCTCCTGAGACCTTAGGATTTTTAAGTGGGCCTGGAATCTTTAGGAACTGGACAGTAGCTACCCCTGAGCAGTTTGCCATGTGGGGTCCTTACATCACCATTGGAAGCAGCTGCCTGAATTTTTATTGTCTTGCACTAGCAGGTTTTCCAGTGCTTTAAGGATTTAAGATTCAGTTGGGCAGCAGTGTATGCACAATTGTTTTACCATGCTAGTATCATGTACTAGTGGTCTTTTCTCACTGAAGGCATACTGTTGCGTGTGATATTTTCAGTTAAATGCGTCACACTAGCTAATTTAGTAGCTTTAGGTGGACACGCAGACATACCCTACAGAAATATTGGGTTCATACTCCATTCTGGTGGAGTCACATGTTTAGAAGTTCACATGTGGTCTCTGTTGGCGGCCCGTCATGGCAAATGGTGAGTGCCATGTGGCTGGGGAAGAGATGCTGCTGTGTTCAAGGAGCCGGCATGTGTGTTGCCACTGGAGTTTCGTACTTGAGAGATGAGTTTGCTGTTTTTTTAGAAATCAGCTCCACAATCAGAGATAGTTTTAATGCCCTTGAATTATTTTGTGATTTAGCTCGTACTATTTATCACATCTTTTGGATTTGAAGTTTTAAAAAATGGGCAGTTTGATCAAGTATGGTGTAGATAGAATAAACCAAAGGTTCCCTGTGAAAGACTTCCTTTGAGGCTAGAGAAAGCCTTTATTCCTCTTTCATTCCACTAAGGTATGGCAGTGTTAAAGCAGATGGAAGGCTGGGGTTTGAGCTGAAGTTGTGTGAAAGCTTCACCAGCCAATTGGCTGACTCTAATGGTGAGACAGGAAGAACCACCCACGTTTTCCATTTTGGATTTGAGTCACAGAAAACAGGTTTCCTGCAGAAACCATTTGGCTTTAACAAATTTACGGAAATTTCATCTTTGATCAAATTGATATTTTTATCTGCATTGTACATGTATCTCAAATTAATTATTTCCCCCTTTTCAATCTTTGCATGTATTTCAGATGAATTATTTCCCCCTTTTCAATCTTTAGGTGAAATTTCCAATTAAAATATCCTGTAGTGTTGACTGTAGTCTAATTTCCAAGATTTTTATGAAAAGTAGAATCAAAGGACTATACTTTCAGGTAACGATGTAATTTCACTTTATCTTAATAATTCACAGATACTTTTGCAGGAGTCTGGAGTTTCTCAGGCTTCTGTAATAGAAGTATAGGTGAATTTTTTGAAAAGTGGCAACTTGAATTCTCCAGACAGATTTCCATCTGTTTGGTATTAGCTGAGGTGTTAGTGGGGTTGGTTACTTAAAACAATTAGAGAAGCAATATGTAATGGCAGTTACGTGTGCACACACACGCACACTCACAGTCTCACTCATTTAAAATGGCTTGTAAAACTGTATTTACCTTTTTTGGGAAAGGGATTATCCTTTCTTCTAATACTTATCACCTTCATCCAGTGATTGATTGATCAAGCTGTCATCAGTCAATCTGTTTTCTGTTTGCTTAAAGCTTAAAGACATGGATGGTTTTAAGAATAATTTCTCTACCTCTCTGTGGCATACCAAAGTACTATAATAGTTCTGGGTATGAGAAGACTGTAGAAAAAGATCTGTACTTGAAATAATTTGGAATTTACAGAGCTTGTATTTAGAAATGAGTTTTCCCTAGGAGGAAAGGGAACTATGCCAAACAAAGACAGAAACAACGTAATCACCCTCCCCTCCCATCCAGAAAACCACATTGCATAGAAAAAATTGTGCTGAGTTGAGATTGTCATAGTGTTTCTGGATACAAGTGAAAACATATTTTAGAGAAGTAACACATTGGCTTTTTAAACAACTACCTAATTTGCCTAATTGATCATGAGGTACTGAATCACTTATAAGTTAGTTTTTGAGCCTCTTTAGGATGCTTAATTTTCAAGCTCAAAATGTGTAAAGGTCAATTTTAAATGATTGTCATCTTTTGAAGAAGGACATTGGCAACTGAGTAAATAATCCACAAATCACTGATTAGTAATGTGTTGTAGGATGACTCCTATAGCAGATTTTATTTCCTAACTATATTACCAGTTAACAGAAATTAGTTTGCAAAACTTGAATGCACCAGCAAAGTGTCAGCCCAGAAACAGGCTTGGGATTTATAACAAGGTACAGATGATGTGTGGACCTATTTTCTTTCTAGTCCCGGGATCAGCCTTAATCAGATCCTGTAATTACTTCTTTACTAGTTTCCCTCCATCAGTTCTTCTTTCCTGTTTCCCTTGCTAGAACACTTCAGGGCCTCCTCCTTATCTACAGCAGTGGTTCTGAAACTCTCTTGGTCTCAGAAACCTTTTACGCTGTTAAAAAATTATTGGGGACTCAGGAGAGTTTTTGTTTATGTCTGTTACATTCATGACTATTTACTGTATTAGAAGTATTAAAATGGAGAAAATATAAAACCTAAGAATATACAAGCACACATTCCTTAGTTGCAGAATGATGGCATCATCACAGTCATGTGGCTTCTGGCAAACACTGTACTCTTAACGGGAGTGAAAAAGGCAAGTGACGTTATTTTTGAAAGTTAGATTTATCAAGGTTTAATTCATATTCAGGGAAACCCACCCTTTTTAATGTAAACACATATGGTTGTAAATACAGTGCAGATATGAAACATTTCCATCTTTCCCAAATGTTCCCCTCCCCAACCCCTGCACCCTCTGACCTATTTTCTCTTCCCACCCTTAGTCTGGCCGTTTCATGACTGTCGTATAAATGGAATTATACAGTATATAGCCTTTTGAATCTGGCTACTTTCATTTAACATAAGACATTTGAGATTCAGTTGTGTTGTGTGTGTCACTAATTTATTTTTATTGCTGAGTCCTGTCCCAGTATATGAATATATCACAGTTTGTGCACTTACCAGTTAAAGGATATTTGGGTTGTTTCTAATTTTTGGTGATTATGTGTCTTGGTTTTATTATTAACATAATTATGACCTTGCAGACTCCTCAGAGCCCTGAGACCTCTTGCTGAGAACCTCTGGCCTACAGCACATCATCTGCATATTCCAGCAGAACATCAATTTTTTTTTTTTTTTGAGACAGAGTCTCACTGTGTAGCCAAGGCTGGAGTGCAGTAGTGCGATCTTGGCTCACTGCAACCTCTGCCTCCTGGGCTCAAGCGATTCTCATGCCTCAGCCTCCCCAGTAGCCAGGACTACAGGCGCATGCCACCACACCCAGCTAATTTTTGTATTTTTAGTAGAGGATGGGTTTCACCCATGTTGGCCAGGCTGGTCTCGAATTCCTGGCTTCAAGTGATGCACCTGCCTTAGCTTCCCAAAGTGCTGGGATTACAGGCATGAGCCACCATGCTAGGCCAATTTTTTTTTTTCTTGTTGCCCAGGCTGGAGTGTAGTAGTGCGATCACGGCTCACTGCAGCCTTGACCTTTTGGGCTCAAGCCATCCTCCCATCTCAGCCTGCTGAGTAGCTGGGACCACATCACATGCCTGGCTAATTTATTTTTTTGTAGAAACAGGGTCTCACATGTTGCACAGGCTAGTCTTGAACTCCTGGGCTCAAGCAATCCTCCTGCC
This sequence comes from Homo sapiens, assembly GCF_000001405.40. Classification (NCBI taxonomy): domain Eukaryota; kingdom Metazoa; phylum Chordata; class Mammalia; order Primates; family Hominidae; genus Homo; species Homo sapiens. The sequence goes on from NC_000014.9 coordinate 71,365,264, forward strand.
TCAGCCTCCCAAAGTGCCCCAGCTCATCCCATTACAGGCATGAGCCACCCTGCTGGGCCTAGAACATCTTGAATTACTTGCCTACCTATGCTGTGCCCCACTGTCGATAATGCCAAAATCTAGCTCAAGAGTCTCCTCTGCACGGCCTTTTCAAAGCCCTCTTTCCACTATTGCCCGTAGGCACTTTGAGACCCTGAGGTTATTAGTCATGACTGCCTTTGTGTCGTCTGTGTGCCTTTTCTCACTGCTCAGTAGTTGTTTGATGACATGGTAGTTTCTCAGCTTCTCTCTATCCCAGTGGAGCATACAAGTTTAGTACATGTTTAAATTAATAAATAATAATTCCTTTGCATTTCTAAGGCATTTTGTTGTTTATATATTATTGCATTCTTCCTTCAACTATGTGAAGTATGTAGCACACATGGTTTTTAACATTTTTTATTTTTATCAGGCAAGGCTATTAAGTATTTTTTTTTTTTTTTAGCAGGGTCTGGCTCTGTCACCCAGGCTGTCGTGCAGTGCTGAGATCTTGGCTCACTGCAACCTCTACCTCCCTGGCTCAAGCCATCCTCCTACCTCAGCCTCCTGAGTAGCTGGGACTACAGTTGTCTGCCAACATGCCTGGTTAATTTTTTTTTTTTTTTAAGAGATGGGGTTTTGCCATCTTGCCCAGGCTGGTCTTGAACTCTTGGGCTCAAGCCGTCCTCCTGCCTCTGCCTTCCAAAGTGCTGGGATTACAGGCATGAGCCACTGTGCCTGGCCAAGGCTACTAAGTCTTAAAGCTGTGGTTCTTGAATAACCTGGGGAGCTTTTAATAGAAGTCCTGATAGCCCAGACCAATTAAGTCTTAATCTCTAGAGGTCAGGCCTGGGTAGTTAGTATTTTTTAAAAGCATCACTGTTGAATCTGTTGTGCAGCTACAGATAATTACTGTTGTGGAGTTTGACTTATCATGAAGTCTTAGTGGTGGTGTAGTCAAGACTAGAATCCAGGTCTTTTGACTCCTATTCTACTGCCTTTTCCTCTGCACTTTGAACTTTCACAGGAACCAGAAGCACTGCAGAGAGAGAGAATGCCTTGGTATAGATGCCAGTGTTTTCAGTTTTTGGAGGTGCTGTAGTATAAACATTGAATTTAGAGTTGGGACCATGTTTCTGTTTTGGCTCTGCATTTATTATTTTATTTTATTTTTGAGATGGAGCTCGCTCTGACGCCCAGGCTGGAGTGCAGTGGCGTGATCTCTCACTGCAAACTCCGTCTCCTGGGTTCACACCATTCTCCTGCCTCAGCCTCTCGAGTAGCTGGGACTACAGGCGCCCGCCACCATGCCTGGCTAATTTTGTTTTTGTATTTTTAGCAGAGATGGGTTTCACTGTGTTAGCCAAGATGGTATCCATCTCCTGATCTCGTGATCCACCCGCCTCGGCCTCCCAAAGTGCTGGGATTACAGGCGTGTGGCTCTGCATTTATTAACTGTGGATTAATAACTACTTGAGTCTGTTCTCTCTTTAAAAGTAAGGACACTACTGTAATTTCTAAAGCTTATTGTGGGGATCAAGTTAAGTAATATGTTAAAGGATTTTTGTAAAGTATAAAGTGCTTTTTAAAACTTATTTTTACTCAGTTTTAACCTAGTGCGTTTATTAGCTTGCTTTTCTTGGGATCTATAAGTTACACAAGAAATATATAAATATGGTCTCACAGAAATCGTCAAATAACACAAAATTATGCAGAATAATGCCCAGAGGTCACTGTTAGTTGCATACTTTTAATCCTTTGGTATGCATGTAAGTGCATAAATATGTATGTATGTGACATACATTTTTTTGGTTGTCTTAACATAAATAGTAATACTTTGTGTGTTTGTGCCTTTTTATTTTAAACTTAACAGCATGTCTTCGATCATTCCATGTAAGGATATATAAACTTCTCTCATTCTTTTAATAGCTGTATACATTTTTTCATATATTCCCATTGGATGGACGTTTAGCCTGTTTCTAATTTTTCACTTTTATAAAAAAGCTAATGAACATTCATTGCTTTTTTTTTTTTTTTTTTCCCGATATGGAGTCTCGCTGTGTCTCCCAGGCTGGAGTGCAGTGGCGCGATCTCTGCTCACTGTAAACTCCGCCTCCCGGGTTTCTGCCATTCTCCTGCCTCAGCCTCTCTAGTAGCTGGGACTACAGGCGCCCGCCACCGCGCCCGGCTAATTTTTTTGTATTTTTTACTGGAGACGGGGTTTCACCGTGTTAGCCAGGATGGTCTCGATCTCCTGACCTCGTGATCTGCCCGCCTCGGCCTCCCAAAGTGCTGGGATTACAGGTGTGAGCCACCGTGCCCGGCCTTTTTTTTTTTTTTTTTGGAGACAGGTTTGCTCTTGTTTCTCAGGCTGGAGTGCAATGGCGCCATCTTGGCTCACTGCAACCTCTGCCTCCGGGGTTCAAGCGATTCTCCTGCCTCAGCCTCCTGAGTAGCTGGGATTACAGGCGCCCACTACCACGTCTGACTAGTTTTTGGGTTTTTAGTAGAGACGGGGTTTCACCATGTTGGCCAGGCTGGTCTCGAACTCCTCACCTCAGGTAACTCCCCTGCATCGGCCTCCCAAAGTGCTGGGACTACAGGCATGAGCCAGCGTGCCGGCCTTCCTTTTTTTTTTTTTTTTTTTAATTAAAACATTAGTTAATTCTTATTAAAAGATTTATTTCCGGGGCATTGGGGGTTAAGTAGTAAATGTCTTCAGTGTGAAATCTTAAACCTTTTTTACTCAAGTCAGAATAGAACTTAGACTTTTTCGTTGTTGTTAGAAAATATACTAGACCTTTTCTGGGGCAGCTTTTATGTTTTTTGTACATTTTGTTTGTTTTATTTTTGTGGTATTCTTTTTTTTTTTTTCTTTCTTTTTTTTTTTTATTATACTTTAAGTTTTAGGGTACATGTGCACATTGTGCAGGTTAGTTACATATGTATACATGTGCCATGCTGGTGCACTGCACCCACTAACTCGTCATCTAGCCTTAGGTATATCTCCCAATGCTATCCCTCCCCGCTCCCCCCACCCCACCACAGTCCCCAGAGTGTGATATTCCCCTTCATGTGTCCATGTGATCTCATTGTTCAATTCCCACCTATGAGTGAGAATATGCGGTGTTTGGTTTTTTGTTCTTGCGATAGTTTACTGAGAATGATGATTTCCAATTTCATCCATGTCCCTACAAAGGACATGAACTCATCATTTTTTATGGCTGCATAGTATTCCATGGTGTATATGTGCCACATTTTCTTAATCCAGTCTATCATTGTTGGACATTTGGGTTGGTTCCAAGTCTTTGCTATTGTGAATAATGCGGCAATAAACATACGTGTGCATGTGTCTTTATAGCAGCATGATTTATAGTCATTTGGGTATATACCCAGTAATGGGATGGCTGGGTCAAATGGTATTTCTAGTTCTAGATCCCTGAGGAATCGCCACACTGACTTCCACAATGGTTGAACCAGTTTACAGTCCCACCAACAGTGTAAAAGTGTTCCTATTTCTCCACATCCTCTCCAGCACCTGTTGTTTCCTGACTTTTTAATGATTGCCATTCTAACTGGTGTGAGATGATATCTCATAGTGGTTTTGATTTGCATTTCTCTGATGGCCAGTGATGATGAGCATTTTTTCATGTGTTTTTTGGCTGCATAAATGTCTTCTTTTGAGAAGTGTCTGTTCATGTCCTTCGCCCACTTTTTGATGGGGTTGTTTGTTTTTTTCTTGTAAATTTGTTTGAGTTCATTGTAGATTCTGGATATTAGCCCTTTGTCAGATGAGTAGGTTGCGAAAATTTTCTCCCATTTTGTAGGTTGCCTGTTCACTCTGATGGTAGTTTCTTTTGCTGTGCAGAAGCTCTTTAGTTTAATTAGATCCCATTTGTCAATTTTGCCTTTTGTTGCCATTGCTTTTGGTGTTTTGGACATGAAGTCCTTGCCCATGCCTATGTCCTGAATGGTAATGCCTAGGTTTTCTTCTAGGGTTTTTATGGTTTTAGGTCTAACGTTTAAATCTTTAATCCATCTTGAATTGATTTTTGTATAAGGTGTAAGGAAGGGATCCAGTTTCAGCTTTCTACATATGGCTAGCCAGTTTTCCCAGCACCATTTATTAAATAGGGAATCCTTTCCCCATTGCTTGTTTTTCTCAGGTTTGTCAAAGATCAGATAGTTGTAGGTATGCGGCATTATTTCTGAGGGCTCTGTTCTGTTCCATTGATCTATATCTCTGTTTTGGTACCAGTACCATGCTGTTTTGGTTACTGTAGCCTTGTAGTATAGTTTGAAGTCAGGTAGTGTGATGCCTCCAGCTTTGTTCTTTTGGCTTAGGGTTGACTTGGCGATGCGGGCTCTTTTTTGGTTCCATATGAACTTTAAAGTAGTTTTTTCCAATTCTGTGAAGAAAGTCATTGGTAGCTTGATGGGGATGGCATTGAATCTGTAAATTACCTTGGGCAGTATGGCCATTTTCACGATATTGATTCTTCCTATCCATGAGCATGGAATGTTCTTCCATTTGTTTGTGTCCTTTTTTATTTCATTGAGCAGTGGTTTGTAGTTCTCCTTGAAGAGGTCCTTCACATCCCTTGTAAGTTGGATTCCTAGGTATTTTATTCTCTTTGAAGCAATTGTGAATGGGAGTTCACTCATGATTTGGCTCTCTGTTTGTCTGTTGTTGGTGTATAAGAATGCTTGTGATTTTTGCACATTGATTTTGTATCCTGAGACTTTGCTGAAGTTGCTTATCAGCTTAAGGAGATTTTGGGCTGAGACGATGGGGTTTTCTAGATAAACAATCATGTCGTCTGCAAACAGGGACAATTTGACTTCCTCTTTTCCTAATTGAATACCCTTTATTTCCTTCTCCTGCCTAATTGCCCTGGCCAGAACTTCCAACACTATGTTGAATAGGAGTGGTGAGAGAGGGCATCCCTGTCTTGTGCCAGTTTTCAAAGGGAATGCTTCCAGTTTTTGCCCATTCAGTATTATATTGGCTGTGGGTTTGTCATAGATAGCTCTTATTATTTTGAAATACGTCCCATCAATACCTGATTTATTGAGAGTTTTTAGCATGAAGGGTTGTTGAATTTTGTCAAAGGCTTTTTCTGCATCTATTGAGATAATCATGTGGTTTTTGTCTTTGGCTCTTATTTTTGTGGTATTCTTGTTTCACTATTGGGATAGACTTTTAAAGACAGGTGTGTGCATTGCTTAAGTGTAACTCCTTTAGTGTGACTGCTGTATAATTGCCCTTCAGTAGTAACACCAACACAACAGTAAGGGGCAGTACTTATTTTTGGTGGCTACTAAGAGCTTATTATACATATATGTACTAAGAGCATACATTATCTCATTTCTTCATGTGGGTGTTACTCAGGTGAAGTTGAAGCGTTTAGAAATGGAGAGTCAGAGAGGCCAACTTGCGTGCCCAAGGTCAGTTATGAATCTAGGATTCAAAGGTCTTGATTCCAACTGTGATGCTCAACAGTCGCCCAGGATTTTGCCAAATCATAAATGGTACCTTGTGTCTGTGACATCACAGTTTAGTTTCTATGTTATTTATATTTGTATATCTTGTTTTTAAATAGTAATAATTTAACATAAGCAGAAATAGTCCAGGCTCTGCAGTATCTATTCTATAGAAAGTACTTATAATAAAAGTGATATACATTAATACTATAATATAAAGGCAAATACTAAATGAATTTAATAATAAGAGTGGTATTTTGGAGTGAAAAAGGCCACTAAATGGGGGAAGTTGATCTTTAATTCTATTTATTAAATAACAGGATGACCTTGATAAATAATGCTGTTTTCTCATTGGTGACATACTATTAGACTAAGTAGTTCACTTTATATTTAATCAGCCATTATCCTGAGTATTATTAGTGTGAATAAGAAATACTTGTTAGAACATTGGGCAGTGGTAATCAAAATGAATTTCGAAGTGGAATTGTAGTAATGGTTGCCTTACCTTGAGTAATGATAAGGACAATATTTCTGTAATGGATTGTTTATTCATGAAAGATGAAAGATTAAAATGGTCTGTCTCTACTGATGAAAGTAACAGAAGGCAGCCTCAAAGTTTATTTTTATTTTTATTTTTTTAGAGACATAGTCTTGCTTTGTCACCTAGGCTGGAGTGCAGTGGTGTGATCTCAGCTCACTGCATCCTCGACCTCCCTGGCTCAAGTGATCCTCCCACCTCAGCCTCCCAAGTAGCTGGGACTACAGGCATGTATCACCATGCCTGGCTAATTTTTGTTTTGTTTTGTTTTGTTTTGGTTGGGACAGGGTTTCACCCTGTTGTCCAGGCTGGTCTTCAGCTCCTGAGCTCAAGTGATCCACCTGCCTCTGCCTCCCAAAGTGCTGGGATTACAGACCTGCAACACCGTGCCTGGCCAGAGTCTTCAAAGCATATTAAAATATCTATTATTATTTTATTATAGGCATAATTGAGTGTTTTATGGAGCTATGGATGGTTGTTTCTCAATAATGTTCACTATAATTGGAGTTTAAGCAAAGGTATGGTTTCACATGTATTCTTTGTATACTCTTGTGTCACATTTCACTTGAGTGGTAAAATAAAACAGTTCTAAGTGGCATAGTCTAGAGGTCAGGTGATGGTGTCAGCCTCTTAACCCTTACTTGATCTCCTTAATGCATCTCAAGTTTAACATGATTGCTGAATGGTTGAAACAAATCTGATGAACTCAGACTTATTTGCTGAACCCTTTATTTTATTAAGAGGTTAGAAAATATGAGAAACCACAGTTCAGATATTATGATACTGTCTCGTTCATGGTTTTAATTTTTTAAAGGACATGTTTTTGGTCAGTATATACTGGGTGATTGCCTGACAGAAGAGAATGAGTATGCTGGCTCACCTTCCTGTGTAGACTTGTGCACTCAGAATTAGTCAGCTTCCAGGAAGCAATTGGGTGGTAATGACTTTTAGTTGCTATCAGTATGCATAGATTCAAATAAAACCTTGGGCATTCTGCTCTGAACAATACATTTAAACAAAATTCTCAATTTCTTTTTTTCTCCCGTATCCAGATTAATTTACTTGAATAGACTCAGAAACAACATTATACTTTATTGCCATCTACAAGGAGCTGTTTTTTGAGATGACATTCCTCTTAGAGGAATTTACTTCTTTTTCCAAAATTTACAATTCGCTATTTCTGTCTGTGTTCTACATTTACGTTTTCAGTACGTAGAATTTAAATATTCATGTACATTCTGTCCTAGTGACTAAGGAGCATTATGTAAGGAATTTTTCTTCCTCTTTCAGTATATTGACATCACATTCCTTGGCCTAGTATTCATTTTGTGTTTGTATTTCAGTGTAATCCTAACAAGTCCATTCAAGCAGTAGTTGAACCGAGGTTAAGTGGTATTATGGTTGTTTGGCAAGTTATAGCCATAAACACTTACTTTTAAACACAGAATGGCCTGGGGTGTCTGTAATATTCAGTTGCATAATCACAGATTATGCTTTACAAACACAGGAATAAGTACCTGGGTCACATAAATCTTCAGTGAGAAATTGCTCCAGAGGATGGAGCCTACATCTGTAGAGTTCCCTTGAGTGTTTTCTTAGGTATATTAACATTTTTCATTTAATTGAAATGTTTCTGATTGGATGGAACTGTGGATAGTATTTTAGAATTTCCAGATAATCTCCTAACAAACATCTAAAGGAATGGGTTGAAATGTTACCAGTGTTGGGCTGGGTGCAGTGGCTTATGCCTGTAATCCCAGCACTTTGGGAGGCCGATGCAGGCGGATCATGAGGTCAGGAGATCGAGACCATCCTGGCTAACACGGTGAAACCCCATGTCTACTAAAAATACAAAAAATTAGCCAGGCATGGTGGCACGTGCCTGTAGTCCCGGCTACTCGGGAGGCTGAGGCAGGAGAATCACTTGAACCCGGGAGGTGGAGGTTGCAGTGAGCCGAGATCACGCCACTGCACTCCAACCTGTGCGACAGAGCAAGACTCCGTCTCAAAAAAAAAAAAAAAAAAGTTACCAGTATTGGACGGGTGTGGTAGCTCACGCCTGTAATCCTAGGACTTTGGGAGGCCGAGGTGGGCGGATCACTTGAGGTCAGGAGTTTGACACTAGCCTGGCCAACGTGGTGAAATCCCGCTTCTACTAAAAATATAAGCAAATTAGCTGGGTGTGGTGGCTGGCGCCTGTAATCCCAGCTACCCGGGAGGCTGAGGTGGGAGAATTGCTTGAACCCAGGAGGCTGAGGCAGGAAAATCGCTTGAACCCGGGAGGCAGAGGTTGCAGTGAGCTGAGATCACGTCACTGGACTCCACCTTGGGTGACAGAGTGAGACTCTGTCTCCAAAAAAAAAAAAAAAAAGTTACCAGTATTTAAAAATGTATATACTTTTCAAAATTTTATATTTTTTCTCCTCTCTTCTTCCTTCCTGATACCTTTGTGATTTGAAAGCTATTTAAAATGAAACCCTGGTTGGGCTCAGTGGCTCATGCCTGTAATTCTAGCACTTTGGGAGGCTGAGGCAGGAGGATTGCTTGAGGCCAGGAGTTCAAGACCAGCCTGGGTAACATAATGAAATGTCCCTACAAAAAGTTAAGAAAAAATCCTTAGACTCAGTTCACCCTCTGCACACTGGCTGGAGTGGAGTTTAGAGTCATTCTGTTTGAAATGACTGGTAAAGTGTCCATTCAGGGCAGCTCTGCTATGAATGCAAGGAAGTGGTCTTTGGAGCTCTTGTGTAGTATTTGAAAGTACTTCGTGTTACTGCAGACAGCCAAAGAACTGAAATAGAATGCCTGTGATCATGTTTAGAAGATCCCATGGGCATATTGTATATTCTTTAGAATGATGTCAGTATTTTTGACAAAATTTTTTTACTTAACTGCCATTTGCAGTATTTATCAGGAAACCGGAGATATTTGATATAGGACTGTTTTTGTAGTATTTTACTAAATGCTTTTATTGAACGATTCATTCTTCAATTTATCAGTAAGAGTTAATTTTTTGTAATTATTTATATACTCTTATATGTTTTATTCCAACTAATTTTGTCGGTAAACTTATTTGGAGAAATCGTATTCAGTTAAAAGTATTTTCTTGATAGAGCCTTCAAGGTTGCACACTATAGATTTTTATTTATAGTATTTATTATTTTTTATAAATCTATAGTTTTATTAAGACAGAAACTGACAGTGTGGTATGAAGTTTACATTTAAACAAAGTTTTCACAGAAATCTAAAGTATATTATTTTTAATTTTTAATTTTAGTAAAGTGGTCATGCCTGGTTTAAATTGTAAGTAAATAGTAATACAAGGCTTGGAAAGAAAAATTCCTATGCTGTATGCTTCCTGCTTCTCTCTCTGAGGCAACCGTTTTGAAAGTTTTTTTTTTTTTTTTGCTGTTTCTAGTCGCATTCACTGCCATATATCTAAATAATATATTTTCACTCCTATAGCCTGTAGTTTTCAATTGCAAACATTATATTTTGACTTCTTCCTATACAAGGTAAGGATTTGGCTCCTCCTATTTCCCTTTCCCCATCCTCTCAATGATAATTTTACCTAAGTTTTGGTCAAGCCATCATTCAGTATTTACAGTATTATCATTTGAATGTTGATGACAGTGACCACAGAGTTTTCAGTGATCATAATTTCTTTCTCCAACTGTTTCTCCAATAGAGACAGACCATTTTATTTGCTTAGCTTTCTATTTATCAAACAATAATTTTGTTCTAAATATTCTTATAGAACTATAACAACTCAAAGGGTAAAGCAGATTAGAGAATTCTTCAGTTCTGGTTTTCTCTTGGCACTGTCTCTTTCGGGGTTCTGTGTCCTGTTGGTTCTGAGCTGCTTGCTTTCTAGCCTCTGGGGAGCTGCCATTTTGGAACTTCTTTTTACCACCATCTTGGGGATTCTCTTGGGCTTTTTCCTTTGGTGGACTTTCTATTTCCTAGATTCTGTGTGGTCATCTTTCTTTATTTTCCCATTTTGGTGGGAAAGAGATATATAAGTATTAATATATACCAATATCCATCTGCCCATGAGTGGGATTTAAAGCAAACTTTTATTTCCTAATTGTCTGCTACTAATATGTAAGAATATACTTGATTTTTTTTTACATCAGCTTTGTATCCTGCAATCTTGTTAAATTCATTTCTTATAATAGTGTAGTTGTTTTTTAGATTCTGGAATTTTCTACACAAATGATCATGTTCCACAAATAAGAGATTTTACTTCTTTATTTCCGATCTTTATGCTTTACACCTCTTTTTCTTGCTTTATTCCAGTATAGTGTTGACTAGAAAGTGGTGATATCAAGCATTCTTGCTTTACTCTTCTCAGGAGAAAATAATTCAGTCTTTTGCCTTTAAGTATTATATTGGTTTTAGCTTTTTGTATTTGTCCTCAGTTATTTGATAAAGTTCTTTACTCTTCTAGTGTGTGGAGAATTTTTATCATGAATGTCTATTGGATTTTGTCAAATACCTTTTCTGTGTCTATTAGACTGATCCTGAGCATTTTCTTCTTTAATCTGTTAATATGATGTATTACACGGATTGATTTTTAAATGTTAAACCAAAAATGCATTATTGTGATAACTGTGGTGGCTCATGGTATACCTTTTTATATAGTATTGGATTTAATTTGCTAAAATTTTGTTAAAGATTTTTGTGCCTCAATTAATGGTCTGTGATTCTTATTTTTTGTTTAGTGTCAGCATTATGCTATCCTTATAAAATGAGTTGGGCTTTGATCCCTTTTCTGTTTTCTGAAAAAGTGTATGTAGAATTGGTTTAATCTTTTTCTTGAATGTTTCATAGAATTTGCCAGTGAAATCATATGGACTTAGAATTTCCATTTTTGAAATATTTTAAATAACAGATTTGATGTCTTTAAAAAATATATGGCTACTTAGACTTTTTCTTTCTTGTGTTATTTTTGATAGGTTCAATTTTCCAAGAAATTTGTCCATTTCATGTAAGTTGTTGAGTTTGTTGGCATAGTTAAACATTGTGTTCTCTTATAATCTTCTTTTTTTTTTTCTAGTAGGCATGTTGGGTTTACTTTGATTAGCAAATTGGCTTTTACAATTATTAGAAAATCATTTATTTGCCAGTATTTAAAAATCAGGAGGTTCCACGTGATCCAGATTTAAGCTACTCTTGAAAAACTAAAAAATCAGGCAACTTTTTTTTTTTTAAGTATTCCTTTTTCTTTTTAATCTCACCAGCATCAGTTATTTCATTTATTTATTTTTTTTTAGTATTTATTGATCATTCTTGGGTGTTTCTCCGAGAGGGGGATTTGGCAGGGTCATAGGACAATAGTGGAGAGAAGGTCAGCAGATAAACAGGTGAACAAAGGTCTCTGGTTTTCCTAGGCAGAGGACCCTGCGGCCTTCCTTAGTGTTTGTGTCCCTGGGTACTTGAGATTAGGGAGTGGTGATGACTCTTAACGAGCATGCTGCCTTCAAGCATCGTTTCCATTTAACCCTGAGTTGACACAGCACATGTTTCAGAGAGCACGGGGTTGGGGGTAAGATTATAGATTAACAGCATCCCAAGGCAGAGAAATTTTTCTTAGTACAGAACAAAATGGAGTCTCCTATGTCTACTTCTTTCTACACAGACACAGTAACAATCTGATCTCTCTTTCTTTTCCCCACATTTCCCCCTTTCTATTCGACAAAACCACCATCGTCATTATGGCCCGTTCTCAGTGAGCTGTTGGGTACACCTCCCAGACGGGGTGGCAGCTGGGCAGAGGGGCTCCTCACTTTCCAGATGTGGCGGCCGGGCAGAGGGGCCCCCCCACCCCCCAGATGGGGCGGCCAGGCAGAGGCAGCCCCCACCTCCCAGATGGGGCGGCGGCCGGGTGGGGGCGCCCCCCCACCTCCCAGATGGGGTGGCGGCTGGGCGGGGGTGCCCCCCCACCTCCCAGACGGGGCGGCGGCCGGACGGGGGCGTTCTCCACTTCTCAGACAGGGCGGCTGCCGGGTGGAGGGGCTCCTCAACTTCTCAGACGGGGCGGCCGGGCGGAGGCACTCCTCAGTTCCCAGACGGGGTCGCGGCCGGGCAGAGGCACTCCTCACCTCCCAGACAGGGTGGCAGCCGGGTAGAGATGCTCCTCACTTCCCAGACTGGGCGGCCAGGCAGAGACGCTCCTCACTTCCCAGACTGGGTGGCCAGGCAGAGGGGCTCCTCACATCCCAGACCATGGGCAGCCAGGCAGAGACGCTCCTCACTTCCTACACGGGGTGGCGGCCGGGCAGAGGCTGCAATCTCAGCACTTTGGGAGGCCAAGGCAGGCGGCTGGGAGGTGGAGGTTGTAGCGAGCTGAGATCACGCCACTGCACTCCAGCGTGGGCAACATTGAGCACTGAGTGAGTGAGACTCCGTCTGCAATCCTGGCACCTCGGGAGGCCGAGGCGGGCAGATCACCCGAGTTCAGGAGCTGGAGACCAGTCCGGCCAACACGGCGAAACCCCGTCTCCACCAAAAAATACAAAAACCAGTCAGGCGTGGCGGCGCGTGCCTGCAATCCCAGGCACTCGGCAGGCTGAGGCAGGAGAATCAGGCAGGGAGGTTGCAGTGAGCCGAGATCGCAGCAGTACAGTCCAGCCTCGGCAACCGAGGGAGACCGTGGAAAGCAGGAGATGGAGACGAGGGAGAGGGGGAGACAGTGGAAAGAAGGAGAGGGAGAGGGAGAGCTAATCTTCTTAAATGTCTATAGGATCTCTGGTTTTTTGGTTTTGTATTTCCATTTCTGATACTAATGATTTGTGTTTTGTCTTTTTTTTTTTGATCACTCTAACTAAAAGTGTGTCGGTTTTGTTGATATGGTACTTTTAAAGACTCAGCTTTTGGCTGTGTTAATTTTTTCTGTTGTCTTTTTTTCATTTCAGTGACTTCTGTTTTCTGTTATTTTCTTCTTTCTATTTTGGGTTTAGTTTGCTCTTTTTCTTGTTTCTTAAGGTGGAACCTTAGGTAACTGTGGTAGATCTTTCTTATTTTCTTTTATTAAGCATTTAAAATAAGACATGTTTTCTATTTGTTGCCATTTGGTTCAGATGTTTTCTGATTTCCTTTTTGGTTTCATTTTTGACCTATGAGCTCTGGAGGTGTGTTGTTTCATACATTGGGGATTTTCTTAGATATCCTGTTATTGATTTCTAATTTAATTCTGTTGTGGTCAGAGAATATTTGTGGAATTTCAATCCTTTTATTGAGAGCCCACCATATGATATGATCTGTCTTGATAAATGTACCATGTGCATTTGAAAGGAATGTGTCTTTTTCAATTGCCACATTTTCTGTGAATGTTAATTAGGTTGATAGTGTTTTTCAGAACTTCTAGGTCATTCCTGATTTTTTTTTTTGTCTAATTGTTCTATCACTGAGTGATACATTGAAAATCTATGATGATTTTGTCATTGTCCTTTTTTTATTATGTCTGTTGTTGCTTCATTTATTTTGAGATGTGTGTACATTCATAATTGTATGCCTTCATGAATTGTCTCCTTTATAATTATGAAATGTTGCTTTTCATAATTATACTCTTGATGGTAATACTCTATTTAAAAGTTGATTAGAAGCTCTGTGTGTGGTGAGGCTGGCATTCCTTTGCCTCTGGATGATCTGTTTGGGCCCTGCCATTTCAATGGTAGTCCCCTTATTGATCTAGTTCTTCTCATTTTCAGCCTCACCCCTTAGTACCTCAGTTTCTTAGCCGTTCTGAAGTTCTGTATCATGAATAGATTGCTTCCTCCTGGTGACTTCCTCACACTTCGTTTTCAGCTTTCTCCAGTTTGCTAAATCAATTCCCAGTTATGTGTTGCTTTTCTATCTGTCAGAATTTTGTTGACATCTCATATGCTGTTGCCTTTTTTTCATATTTTTCTGTCATGTTCTTTGTTGTCATTTCCGGAGGGAATGGAGGTAAGTGTCATCCACTTACTTACATTACATTAAGACTTTCTTTCTTTCTTTTTTTTTTTTTCCTTTAAGAGACTGGGTCTCACTCTGTTGCCCAGGCTGGAATACAGTGGCCTGATCATTGCTCACTGCAGCTTCAAACTCCTGGGCCTGAGCAGTCTTCCCACCTCACCCTCCCAAGTAGCTATGACTACAGGTGCAGGCCACCGTGCCTGGCTAATTAATTTTTTTTTTTTTTTTAAAGAAATGTGGTCTCGCTGTGTTGCCCAGTACTGGCCTCAAGCGAGCCTCCTACCTCAGCCTTCCAAAGTGTTGGGATTATAGGCGTGAGCCACTGCACCTGGCACAGTAAGACTTTTAATTGACATACATTGTTGTTAACCTGATCTTTAAAATATAAAACACTAATTCAGTGTTATCTTCTGCCATGTAAGGAAAAAAGAGTGCGTGTGTGTGCGCGCGTGCGCGTATGGTGTCTATTTCAGTGATTTGAAAACTAATGTATTTCTTGCTGTAGATTTCATTTACATTAGAAAGTATTAGTGGTGTTTACTTTCTTTGTGCTTCGTTTGGTAGACATTGAGCAGTATTTTATACATTTTCCATTTTACAATTTTAATACCGTCTTTTTTTGTTATGGGGCTCACTATCACATAAAATGTTTTTGTAAATGATTAGCTATTTTTTGTGTTTTGATAACTTATTATTGCCATATTCTTTCAAGTGCCTTCTTTTTGAAAATAATAATAATAATATAGAATAGAGGTTTCTTTGACCTAGGATTTGAAAGTCACAGAGTTGCCATTTTAATCTAAGTCATGTAAATATACTGCTAGTTTCTTCACCCAGAAATGTAAACTTCACAGAGTTGTTAAGGGTATCTTACTTGTAAGGTAATAGAAAAGGGTTTAAAAACATACCTAATGTGTGTAAAATTGTGTATGGAATAATTAACATACTTTTGGATAGTTAGGAATTAAATTATTTGTGTTTATGTCCTTTGATAATTAAATGGTTCTTGTAGATAACTTTTAGTTGAATATCCTTTGTGGTGTAAAACTTGTCCCATGCTTTGTAAAATGACGCTCATCTCATAACTTCTTCATATCCCAGATACAGTCCTGCATGAAGGTAGACAGCTGCCCAAATATGGTACTTAAATGCTCAAGAACTTACAGGCCTCTAAATTGCTCCATGTTCAGTCTGGTATTTTGCGATGCATTCCAAAGATTCCTGTTAATTGCCTGTGTTGTTACTGAAGAAGTTATATCCTGGGATGTTATCTGCCTTTGGCCTCTGGACAAAAATTTGGTTTTATCTGGAGAACAAGACTTTAAGAGAATAGGATACAGGACTCTTAAGTTTTTTGGATAGCAGGGTAGAAGAAATCTAAAATCTATGCAATGTCAGGGTTGGTAGGCCTTGATAGAGAGCCATAGCTCTTAGCCTTGGGAAGCAGGGAAATGATTCCAAGTAGAGTAGGGATACAATATCTATTTTTCAGGCCTTTTAGATCCAGCCCTGTCTGATCTCTTAATCATCATAATACTTATGTAGTTATTGTCATGTTTGAGTATAAAATCCATGCACTTGAAGACCAAAGATCCAAGTACTAGCAGCTTAGCAACACTTATATGCTGCCCATGTAAGCCTCTTAAAGCATATTTCACAAGTGAGGAAAAGTAGAAGTTTCCCACCCTTAATGGGAAGAAATGAAGGAAAAAAGGAATATTAATAATTGACTATTACCCCCATAGTGCAATTGGCATTTGTACAAAATATAAGACATTCATTGATATGACTTATTTTATTTTATTTTTGAGATGGAGTCTGGCACTGTCGCCTGGGCTGGAGTCCAGTGGCGTGATCTTGGCTCACTGCAACCTCCGCCTCCCGGGTTCAAGTGATTCTCCTGCCTCAGCCTTCCGAGTAGCTGGGATTACAGGTGCCCACCACGGTGCCCGGCTAATTTTTTGTATTTTCAGTAGAGACGGGGTTTCACTGTGTTAGCCAGGATGGTCTCAATCTCCTGACCTCGTGATCCGCCCTCCTTGTCCTCCCAAAGTGCTGGGATTACAGGCATGAGCCACCATGCCTGGCCCCAATATGACTTATTTAATGAGTTTGGAATCCCCCTCACCCCGCCCTTCATATTCGTATATTTGAAAGAAGCTAGATTATAGAGGGAAAGATAAATTTATAATGATTTTGCTAATTTTGTGATAATGGTGATGGGTATATTAAAAATAGTTTAAAAAATGGAAAATAGAGTTATATAACTGAATGTTTGTATTTGTTGACATAAAGTATAGACAGCTTTAGCACTTGAAAAATCGGGTGGATTCTTGTTTTAGAAGCTGTTCCAGTGAATTCCCTTTCCTTATGATCTTTTTGTCCTAGAAATATTCAAAATAATCTTTATCATAAAGTAACATTATTATTGAATTGAACAGACTTACTTTGGTCCTTTGTTGGCAACTGCATTGTGGTGATTTTCTGTATTTCTGATAGACTGTGTGTGCTGGTCAGGTTGTTAATTCTTGGTGCCCTCTTCTCTGTGAATATATTTCTGGTATGATAACCTTACTATCTTTCTATGCCTAATTCCTTTTTGAATCCATGATACCCATTGTGATATTATGAAAATAACTGCATTTACAGATTTTAGAGATGGGGTAGTACTGTCTGAGTTCTGCTTTATCCTATTTTCTCTTTTTTTGTTTAAATTTTTGAGGTTCTTTTTAAAAGTCATCAGTACTGCATAGTAAATGAAGAATGTCTTTGAATTCCTTGAGTGTGCTTAAATGTGAGAATGTTTCTACTTGTAAGAGGAAGCCAATCCAAGTTAACATTTTTTTCTGCTAATTAAAGTTTAGAATTTTAATCAAGTAATACTTAGCAATAATTATGCTGTCTAGTTAGAATAGTGTTAGAGGACAGTGGTAATTTCTGGATTAGGTGCTCTTCCCCTCTGCTTTCACTAGGGAGAAAGGCGCTAAAGCTAAGAATTCTATGTAGTTTGGTGCTGATATTATTATTGCATAAGCCAAGTGTTTGGGGTGGTTCTAGACTAGCTTTTCTTTACTTGGGTGGTAGAAAACATATCCGGATGAAATAGGCTTTAGAATCTGGATAAGCAATGAATATGATATGGAAACTTTGTCCCACCTTTTGTAAATACGTAACAGAAAGATAACAAAAGCCTAAACAAATTTACATTAGAACTTGTTCAGAGAATTAAGAAGGAAGGAGAGAGATTCGTTTAGCCAGTAGCAGTCCGAAGGTGACTCCATTTTGGCAGTTGTCGGTCTCTTTAAGAACACCATCTTGTTCTTGACTTTTCTGTAGGAGTCACTAAGGACTGAGCTGTGTAGAATTGCTCTCAGAGTTTCTCCCTCGGTAAGGGTTTTTTTTTGTAATTAGGATGAATTGCTTGATAGATATTATAGCACTTTTAAAAGCACCAGTCTGTTCTTAATTAAAGGAGAGAGTATTTTTATTTGTTCAACAGCAAATATTGAGTGCCCATATGTGAAAGATCAGTTCTCTGGGGAAGACCAAGATCAGTAAGATATAGTTTCTGCTCTTAAAGAGTTGTAGCCTTGTCGAGGAAATCAGAAGTGACCATAATCATAACACAGTGATGGGTGCCCCAGAGAGGCCCAGCAGAATATTCTGGGAGTTTAAAGGATGGAGAAACACTGATTTCCCCAATGAATAGAGGGAGTGAAGGCTTCATGTGGGAGGTAGTATTTAAGCAGTGTCTTACTAGATGGGACTTGAACCTATGAAGAGTTTTTCAGATTGAGGCATGTGTTGAGGATAACAACTTCAGATTGCTACATTGTCTAGTGAGGAAAATAAATGATAATAATGCTAGTGTTTATTGAATGTTTAACTTGTGCTGTTTTAAGTGTTCTTATCATTTCCTCATAACAATAACATAGTAACCCTATGAGATAGGTATTATTGTCATTCCATTTTACAGATGAAGAAATTGAGGTTAAGAAACTTGAAACTCTTAACCCACACTGGTCCTGGAGAGTTCACTCTTACTTGCTATGTTATACTTTGGGAAATGTAGCAAAGCTGGATGGGGTTCCATTTATGTAGAGTCTCAAATGCCCAGATGAATAATTTAATATATTGGAAGATATTTTTAAAATGGTTCTGTGTGAAGGTTTTAAGCACATCCTCTCATTTCTCTTAATATACCATGCGTTACTGCCTTTGAAATGCCTTTTTCACTGTGTTAGTTTATTTTTGCATTGCTATAAATATCCAAGACTGGGTAATTTATAAAGAAAAGGGGCTTAATTAGCTCATGGTTCTGCAAGCGGTACTAGCATGGCACAGTCATTTGCTCAGCTCCTGGCGAGGGCCTCTGGAAGCTTACAATCATGATGAAAGGGAGAGGGAGGAGAAGGGGTGGTGGGGGAAAGACAGAGGAGGGAGGTGCCACACACTTTTAAACAGCCAGATCTCAGGTGAACTAACTGAGCCAGAACTCACTTATCACCAAGGGGATGGTGCTAATCCATCATGAGGGATCTGCCTCCATGATCTAGTACCTCCCAGCAGGCCCCACCTTCCACACTGGGGAACACATTTCAACAGGAGATTTGGAAGGCATGAATATCCAAACCATATCACCCACTTTTCCTTATGAATTTCTACTTATTCTTAACTTCTTTGCTTGTTTATTACCTATTCTCTGGGGCTTTTTCAGTCACCCAGGAGGACGGGCCCTTCCATGGGCTCAGGTGGCACTTTGCTGGTTCTTTTCATATAGGGTTTGTTAGGTGGCAGGGTCATTATGTGCTTGTTTTTTTTCTCAGCCAGACTGCGAATTACTTGAATTCTGCCTGTACATACTTTTCATGTCCCTGGTGTTAGGCACAGCATTATTGCTGAATAAAGATCAGATAAGTCCAACGGAATGAAAGGGAAGGTGATGAATTTTCAGATGTCATGCTGACTTTTTTCTTTGCTTTCTTTCTGAGTTGCAGGTGTTTAAAATCCCTAGGGAAGAGATAAGGTGATTTATGTTCAATACATTGGTTCCTGTGAGAATGAAGGAGGGAGATTATTCTGGGTTTGTGTGGGGCCTGGGTTTGGGGCTTGGCCTTGAAGGCCTAACATTTGAGTTGGCAGAAGGGAGAGGGGCACACCCAGCCGAGAGAACAGCATGAGTGGTGCACGGGAATGGGTTCAACATGAAACGACACCGCCGCCTTGAAACTGGAGCTTCTGGGCTTTTCTGCTACACCCAATAGAGCCTTTTATGGCATAGAGAATCTCTCAAAAGCCTTGATTTGTTTGTAGTCAGCCAGAAAGATGTATGGGCCAGCAAAACATTTGCCATGTTGTGGTTTGAATTTAAGGTAAGTTTCTAACACATGGAATATGAAGTTCAAATACTCAACATGCCTTTTTTGGTGGTAAACTGCTATTGAAATATGGGCCCATTTGGTCTAAATTAAACTCATTCTTTGGATATTCTCTAAAATCTTAAAACCGCCAGTAATCTCACATTTAACTGGCATGTCTTCTGTAGTCAGCCTGACCCGCGTTTCCTTTTGACTGTCTCCTTCAGATCGGTAGGGACTTTCAGCATTGCTGTAATGGACTTGTGTTGTTTAATTCAGCTTTTTGCTCTTTATCTGGAAGCACTCTGGCTGTGATGTGGGGAATGAAAGGTATTGAGGAGAGTCAGGGTTAATCGGACTTGTGGAGAGGACAGCGATAAAGGACTCTTGTAATAAAGGAGGATGTTAGAATCCAGGAGAGGGTGTCATTGTTAAGACACATCTTTCAACAGTTGGAAACCTTTTAAAATATTTTTAAGGCACAACCCAGAGTACTAAAAAAGGATGCCTTGAAACTACCGATGCCCCAGATTAAAAGCTTTCTCCCTCAGAAGTTCTGATTAAAATTGGTCGTGCTCTCAGAAGTGCCCAACAGGGTAGAGACAGTCTTCCTCAACATGGTCAAGGTCATAACTCACAATTTTACTGACTCTGATTATTCTGGGGACCATAGGCCTTGTCTTTGGTGGAGTGAGGACTAAAGGAAAGTAGGTAGGTGTGGGTATGGCCTCCATCCCAGAGTCTTCTCTGCAACAGTTGCTGGTTTTTAGTTTTTGCTGCTGATTACTGAAAAATTTAGTGCTACAGATGTTAAAACAAAAGCTCCTCGAGGATAGGGACTTGGTTTTGTTCCCTAATAAAACCTCTATTGAATAGCTCTATCCAATAGATGTATGCTGTGCCTTCATTATATTTAAATATTTCTAGTTGCATTAAGACAAAGTAAAAAGAAAAGTGAATTTAATTTTAATAATATATTTTATTTCATCTGATTTATGTGAAATATTATCTCAACATATAATACATATAAAAAATTATAGAGATGCTTTACTTTCTTTTGTACATTCTTTTTTTTTTTTTTTTTTTTGAAACAAGTCTTGCTCTGTTGCCTGGGCTGGAGTGCAGTGGCGCAATCTCGGCTCACTGCAACTTCTGACTCCCTGGTTCAAGTGATTCTGCTGCCTCAGCCTCCCGAGTAGCTGGGATTACAGGCATGTGCCACCACGCCCAGCTAATTTTTGTATTTTTAGTAGAGACGGGGTTTCACCATGTTGTCCAGGATGGTCTCGATCTCCTGACCTCGTGATCCGCCCGCCTCAGCCTCCCAAAGTGCTGGGATTACAAGCGTGTGCCATCGCACCTGGCCTGCACATTCTTTTGTTTTCAGAATCTAGTGTATATCTTATGCTTACCGTATATCTCAGTTTGTACTAGTGCCATTTCAAATTCTTAATGGCCACGTGTGACTACTGCCTGTCATATTGGACAGTGTGGTGACTATATTAGTCAGGATTCTCTAGGGGGACAGAACTAATAGGATAGATGTATATATAAAGGGGAGTTTGTAGGTCCCACAATAGACCGTCTGTAAGCTGAGGAGCAAGGAAGCCAGTCCAAGTCCCAAAGCTGAAGAACTTGGATTCCAATGTTGGAGAGCAGGAGACATCCAGCACAGGAGAAAGATGTAGGCTGGGAGACTCAGCCAGTCTAGTTTCTTCACGTTCTTCTGCCTGCTTTTATTCTGGCTGTGCTGGCAGCTGATTAGATGGTGCCCACCCAGATTGAGGGTGGGTCTGCCTTTCCCAGTCCACTGATTCCAGTGTTAATCTCCTTTGGCAACACCTTCACAGACACACCCAGGAACAATACTTTGCATCCTTCAATCCAATCAAGTTGACACTGAATATTAACCATCACAGCGACTATATCTGGTATATGGTAGATGCACAGTAAATATCTGTAAAATGAAGAAAGGAAGAAACAAAGGGAGAAGGAAAGGGAAGGGAAGAAGAAAATGGTAACATTTCAAAGATGAATAAACAGATGAACCCTGTTTTACTTGTTTTGGTGTGTCCTGGCAGCTCCTGACTAGAAGATAACTGAATGATCCTTTTATTTTTAGTTTAAAATCATTTTCAAATGTATTATCTCATTAATACATACCTTCAGTACCATTGATTTAGACAGACCAAGTTGATCTACTGAGGCTGTGTAAGGTTTAACCAGGATCCAAACTTGAGTACTTTCTTCTCGTTACTGTGAATTTTCTCATTGGTTTGTGTGAAAAATCTTCCCTATGAACAGTAGCTGGCCCTTAGTTATGGATAGATATTAAAAGAAAGACTGTGGCCGGGCGCAGTGGCTCACGCCTGTAATCCCAGCACTTTGGGAGGCCAAGGCAGGCAGATCACCTGAGGTCAGGAGTTCGAGACCGGCCTGACCAACATGGAGAAACCCTGTCTCTATTAAAATTACAAAATTAGCTGGGCATGGTGGCGCATGCCTGTAATCCCAGCTACTCGGGAGGCTGAGGCAGAAGAATTGCGTGAATCTGGGAGGTGGAGGTTGCAGTGAGCTGAGATCGCGCCATTGCACTCCAGCCTGGGCAACAAGAGCGAAACTCTGTCTCAAAAAAAAAAAAAAAAAAAAAAAAAAAAGAAAGACTGAGTAAATATTGTTAATACAGAACTATTTAAAAATAGTTGACTAGGCCAGGTGTGCTGGTACCCGCCTGTAGTCCCATCTCCTCAGAAGGCTGAGGTGGGAGGATCCCTTGAGCACAGGAGTTCAAGGCTGCAGTGAGCTATGATCATGCCACCCTGTCTAAGGAACAAAAGAAAAAAATAGTTAGCTAAAGGTCACATCTTAAAGTTTGTCTTTAATTCAGTAATCAAAGACATCATTACTGTAGCCAAGAAAGGTGTGTGTGTGGCTTCTGTAGGTGTTTAACACAGGCTGTCTGAATAACAGAAGGCACATAAAAATTTGTTAAATAAAAAGACTTTATGAAAAGGTATGCATACGTATGTTTCAAACGATTCTTCTAGATAACCATTTCACCTCTGCAGAAGTTGTTTTCTAGCAGGAATGTGTTACGATTTCTGTTCTACACGTGGAGAATTGTCTTTTATATAGAGGAAACTACTTAACCAGCATCGTAACCCTTCGTTGCTTAAATTATTGGATTTTGTGTCTTTCTTGTTTCTTGAGCCATTAAAATGGTTGGTTTTACTGTGCTTAACATTTAAATAAAAACCTAAGGCAGATGCTTTTGGTATGATTCAATTTGTTATGCTAAAGATGAATCCAAGTTAATTTCTAGAGTATCAGTATGATACGAAGACATTGCATTTCATCTTCCTTTTGGATAAAAGCCAAGACAGATCACTCTGCAGAGCAAGGTGTGTTGTTAACTGAGATATCAGTGCACAGCACATACTTCATACAAGGTGTTCAAATATTTGAATTTGTGAGAAATGACTCTGGTGTGCAGAAAATGGCATTTATTGAGAAGGCCTAAAATATGATTTTTAATTTTCCCTAAGTCAGTAGATACTGCAAAATACTTTGTTCATTATTGTTCATTTTAGGATAATGTACCACAAGTTTGAAAAAGTAATGCAAAAATTATTCAATAAAAGATACAGACGCAGGTTTTTGTCAAAGCAGAATCTACCATCTAGACTTTAATTGACCCAAGCTACAAAGAAGTTAAGTCTAATTTATCTTATGTATTTGGGAGATCATTCACAAGGAATTATCTGCAAAACCACATGAATATTATTATCTACTGTGTACATTAAGGATTTAAGAGTGCATAGCTTCTACACATACTTTAGCTTTTCTTTTCATAGCCTGGGGAAATGCTATGAATGCACCTAACTGAGATTTTAACGTAATTGAAGCTTACCCTTTCCGTGTCAAATTCCAGACTCTAGAGGCACTTTGTTGGCCCACACGTCACACGTGCTCTTCTTTTTTAATAGGATAACTTAGGATCCGCATGGATAGAGAGAATGAGAGGCTAAAGATATTTCCTGCAGAAAATGGTAGAAGCTTAAATACACGATTGCATGAGTGACAGTCTGAAAGTCTCTGAAAGTGGTTGTCAGCCCTGGCTGAACATCAGAATCATCTGTGGAGCTTTAGGATCTTAAAGCTGGCCAGATTTATTTGTTTTTAAATCAAAACCCTCCCTAGTGCTACCTACATTTTAGCCAGGATTCAAATTTTTCATTGAAGAACTTTCTGAGGTTTGTTGATTCTGTAGTCATAGTGTGTCATATGTATTTTTTACCACCTTACCTATATAAATAGGTTTTTAGTTTTTGTTGTTGTTTGGTAGAGATAGGGTCTTGCTGTGTTGCCCAGGCTGGTCTCGAACTCCTAGGCTCAAGCATTCCTTCTAGCTCGACCTCTCGAAGTGCTGGGATTACAGGCATGAGCCACCGTGCCTGACCTGTTTATTAGAATTGATTTCTGATGAATCACCAAAGATTTGTTTGTCTGATTGTTTCAAAGATAGGAAGACTTGATAAAGGGTGAGATAGGGCTGGTTCCTCTGCAGGAAGTCCTGAGGGAAACAGACCCCTAGGAGATGGGTAGGTAATTGTAACTGGAGAGAAGAGGGACCAGTGGGTCAAAGCTTAGGGGTTTTAAGAGGAAAGAAAAATGAGTTGTACAAGGCATCTGTCTAGATGGCTCAGTGGGTAATAGATTTAACTAACTGGAAACTGTGCATTCCTTCATAGTTTCTATGTTTCCCTTTTGCCACCTTTGACTAGTTAAGGAAGATACATGATTGATGATCATTGCTCAGAAAATCTTTTACTTATATTTGAATTTCTGTTTTTAAGATAGTACCATTTGTAGGAAATCTGACATCTACTTAAAGTGGTAGTTTTTTCCACCACTATTTTTTATATTTTGTGTAGTCTTAGACATAGAAAGGCACTTTAATCTCCCATTTCAGATTTCCTGTAGATTGCAGGGGACAAGTGAGATGTTTCATATTTAGGAATATTGAGTATATTTTTCTTCATTTCTTTGGTAATAGGCAGTGTTTTGTGGCATACTTCTCAACTTTTTAATTAATTGGACTAAAGTGTGTAGTAATGTAGGTAATGGGTCTTTGTGTTCCTCACATTTAGTAGAGACTCATCGTCAGGAGCCCACCCTTTCCTCGGTCTGACATGCAGACTGTCAGTGTGGTGCTGTGTTTCCTCATCTGAAGGGCTCGGAGGAGAGTGGGAAAGGGAACAGTTAATATCCAGCGGACAAGTGCATTCGCTGGTACTAGTTTCTGATTTTCTAGTATTACCTGTAAATATAAGTCCTTTGTCACATGTTGTCAAGATTTCCATCTTTTCAAATCCAAAGGAGATTAGAGAGTAAATGCAATTTATGAAGACTGGGGTAGGATGATAATTTGTAATTTTCTTTGGGACTGAAATTTCTTATCCAGCATTCCTTATGCTTATACCATTCAAATAAAGTATGACAGTGAAAAAATGGTCCAGAAACCTGTTTGATAAAACCTAACGACTTAAAATGATACAGCTGTTTCATCCTAAATGTGTTAAACAATCCAAATATTTTCCCCTCTGATTATAAAAATCTTTATTATAGAAAAATTGGAAAGTACAATAAAGCATGAAGAAGAAAATACAAATCACCAGTAATCCCACAACCCAGCAGCAACTGCTATTAATATTTAAACTATTTCCTTTCAGGGTTTTTTGGAGGGAGAGGCAGCCATACTCTTGTATCGTGTTTATGAACTTAATATTATGAGCATTTTCCCATGTACATAGCTATTCTTCAAAAACATGGTTTTTATTGGTTGTTTTGGTGCCCAAATATTTTTCTTTAGTTTCAGTGTTATTTAAAACAGCATTCATAATCCCAGCACTTTGGGAGGCCAAGGGAGGTGGATCATTTGAGCTCAGGAGTTTGAGACCAGAGCCTGGACAACATGGTGAAGCCCTGTCTCTACCAAAAAAAGAAGAAAAAAAAATTAGCCGTGCATGATGGCATGTGCCTGTGGTTCCAGCTACTCGGGAGGCAGGAATGGGAGGATCACTGGAGCCCGGGAGATGGAGGTTGCAGTGAGCTAAGATCGCACCACTACCCTTCAGCCTGGGTGACAGAATGAGATCCCACCTCAAAAAAACAAAAGCAAAAACAAAAACCCCACCATTCAGGAATCTGCTTGCGTGTCCCTTCCTCCACGACACCTTTTCTCCACAGAGGAAGTGAAAAAAATCTCCACTGGCCTTCTATAGAATTTTGATTTTGTTGCTGCGGTGACAATATATCTTGCTTCATGTAATTTTTAAATATATGTATCTAATTCTTCATCTGACATTTATTGAACCCTTCCTTTGGAATAGACACTATACTAAGACTTCACAGGACAATGACAGTGGAAAGGAAATAGAAAAAAAAGCCAACAAAAATTAGTTTTGTGCCTGTATTCAGTATCTTTTTTTTTTTTTTTTTTTTTGAGACAGACTCTTGCTCTGTTGCCCAGGCTGGAGTGCAGTGGCCTGATCTTGGCTCACTGCAAGCTCTGCCTCCCAGGTTCATGCCATTCTTCTGCCTCAGCCTCCCGAGTAGCTGGGACTACAGGCGCCCGCCACACGCCCGGCTAATTTTTTGTATTTTTAGTAGAGATGGGGTTTCACCGTGTTAGCCAGGATGGTCTCGATCTCTTGACCTCGTGATCCGCCCGCCTTGGCCTCCCAAAGTGCTGGGATTACAGGCGTGAGACACCGCTCCCGGCCGCATTCAGTATTCTTAGTCTATAGGCTGGGAATGTAGACATTACTTAAATAATCACACATATAAATGTTAAATTATAACTGTGATACGTGATTTGAAGGACAGGTAAATGCTGCTTATGAGAACAGTTCATATGAACAAGAATTAGGTGTTTTATTTGACAACAGATTTAAAATGATCCAGGTCCTGTAGTTCTGTAAAGGTCAGTGCTAGCCAAGAAATAGCATGTTCTGCTCTGAGAACTTAATGTGCCTATGGTACTCTACCATGGTTAGAGAACATGGGGGTTCTTTTTGTCGTCTTCTGACCAACTAGAGTACATTCTAAAGAGTGACTCTCTAAGGAGAGTACATTTTAAGGAGAGAGGGAGACAGTTTCAGAAAGGAATTCAAGTAATGCCAGGTTGGGAGGACCGTAGCAAGTGATTCTGAGGAAAGAAGGCACAGGGAGGACATTGTGGTTGTCCAGTGTGTAGTAGTAGATCAAGGTGTATTGAGCAGATTCTTGCAGAGTTGAGAAGTAGACTGCTGTACTGGTTCTCTTTCCATTCTAAGATTCCACGCTGTTAAAGATTATCTGAAGCCATTCAGCATCAGGTGGGTATAAGAGGACCCTGAGGATGATTTTCAGCCTATGTCCATTTAGGTTTGGAGGAAGAGTATCCACCCATTCTCCTTGCCCTCAAGTCTCAACTCTCCAAGCAAGAGGAAGCCAGAGAGGCTTGGGGAGCGCAGGAAAGCTATAAATCCCAATACCCATTATCTCCTGAGGACAGACAGTCTCCGGTGCAGGCAGATGCTTCAGGAGTTCCCCATAATCTGTAGGATGGAAGCTGAGTGCCTTAATATGGCAGAGGCCCTCTGGATGTGGCTTCTGCCTTCTCTGTTGATCGCTTTCTTCTCACTCGCCTGTCACCGAGCCTTGTTTGTTCTAGTGGTAGTGAAGTCCTTGCATAATGTGATTTCTTGCCTTTCAGTGCCTTGCTGTTTCTTCTCCCTAAACATTCCTCTGATTTGCTGAATACATTCTTATTTTCCTCTCAGGACCAGCTTAAAAGTTAACATCTGTAGAGTTTTTCTGCTTTGCTCAAGTTAGTTACTTCATAACACATACCTCTGTTACAGTACTATTGAAACTTTTTTTTTTGAGGAGTCTCGCTCTGTCGCCCAGGCTGGAGTGCAGTGGTGCGATCTCGGCTCACTGCAAGCCCCGCCTTCCGGCTTCACACCATTCTCCTGCCTCAGCCTCCCGAGTAGCTGGAACTACAGGCACCTGCCACCACGCCCGGCTAATTTTTTGTATTTTTTTTTTTAGTAGAGACGGGGTTTCACTGTGTTAGCCAGGATGGTCTCAATCTCCTAACCTCGTGATCTGCCCGTCTCGGCCTCTCAAAGTGCAGGCGTGAGCCACCGCACCTGGCCGAAACTTTTTATTTAGCTTACTCCCCTAGACCATAAAATCCTTAAATACAGGGATTATGTATTCTGTTTAACTTTTCAGTGCCTGAAAGCTCTCAATAAATGGCCCATTCTGGGCATTCAGTAATTTTTCAATGAATGAGTATAATTCTCACTTGCCTTACCATATTGATACTTTATTGTGGCTGTGGCTTTGGAATTTAACATCATGAGATATAATAAATACATAGTTGAACTTACCGATTGGTTGATTTAAACCTTTGAAGTGTGTAAGAGTGTACTTTTCTTGACTCCCTTATTAAATATTCCAATAGGATATCGATATATGGAGGGGCATTCCTAGTTTCTAGCAAGACCACGTTGTATTTTGGATTACCTTCTTTTAATAGTACTCCTTAAAAATTGTCAAGTTATTATAATATTTTCAATAAGAAACACATCTTAGGTCTAAAAAAGGGTAAAATGAGGCTAAGGAAAATTTAAAATAAGTAATTGTGTAAAGAAAGATGATATTAATATGCATTTGAAAGTGCAGGAAATCTGTGGTAAGAAATGTTCCAAATTAAATTGGGTGTACACTATGGACAACTAAAGAACAGATTGTGTTCTGATATGGTGTGGAGCTCATAGTTTGCCAAAGCCGATTTGTAAAGTCTTATTGGACCACACTCATGCTAGCAGGACTTGCTTTAGTAATAGCTTTGTGGCTGGGCGTGGAGGCTCATGTCTGTAATCCCAGCACTTTGGGAGGCTGAGGCAGGAGGATCAGATGAGGCAAGACGTTCAAGACCAGCTTGGGCAACATAGCAAAACCTAGTCTCTATCTTCCCCACACCCCACCAAAAAAAACTTCAGCTGGGATTGGTGGCATGTACCTGAAGTCCCAGCTACTTGGGAGGCTGAGATGGGAGGATTACTTGAGTCTGTGAGGTCAAGACTGCAGTGAGCCATGATCATGCTACTGCATTTAAGCCTGGGTGATACAGCAAGACCCCATCTCTAAAAAAATAAGAAATAATAGCTTCGTAGTTCAGGTAACACCAGTGGTCTGGTTATCCAGGGCTGATCAGATCCTGGAAAATCTGATATGCTTAAACAGAATTTTTTGAATATTGATGTCTACTAGAAAGTCACTTGTTAACAAGCAATGAGAGGTAAATTTTCAGGCAGACAAGTATTTGATAGTAGAATAAGCAAATCCTGTTCCTAGCTGGCTAGATTGCTAGGGCAGCGTTGTTATCTTCAGAAAGCTTCTTGGGATGTATGCGCTATCAAAGCCAGCAAGGGCGGAGGAAGGTGTTGACTTGCTACCCAAATTTTCTTCTTTATCCCCTGCCAACATATCAGCCTAGATCTCTTCAGAGAGTTGTTCTACTGGGCACTCATCCTTTCTCTCATAGCTTCTGGCTGATTCTAATCAAAATAGGGTGTGCCTCCCCTATTACCTTAGTTTAAATTTCTCCATTCACCAATTAATTATACAGCATTAATTTCCAAATGTCCATTCATTAACTGGAAGCCTCTATTACTATTATTTTGTAGCTAGAAAATGGTTTGTAAAATGGTTTGAAGTTACCAGAATATTATGTCATTCATCTCCTGCTGCATTTATGTATTATTCTCTAGACTTGATGAATGATACTCAGATCTTGTTCATAAGAGAGAACTATCTTGCTTGAGAAATGTCTCTGGTGTGACGTCTTCCTCTGTTCAGACCTTTTCACCTATTCTCCAGCCTCTCCTGCTATAGACATCCGTTGTAATAATGTTCATTTAAAATCAGCAGTGAATAAAATGACCTCATCCAAAAACAAACTGTTTAACTGTGTATTTGAGTTTAGTGATCTGGAATCATGTTTGAATTAAGTGATGTGGATTCCTATTGCAAAAAACATTGTAGATACTCCTGAAGTTTGTAGTTGAATAATGTGCCCAAGGTACCATCTAAAGTTAAGATAAACTTAAGGTGACCTGCTACTGACTTCGCCTGATGGATAAGCAGTAAGGAGAAGGATAGTTAAAATAATTTGTGTGATTCGTTTTAATACTAACTCAAAAGAAGAAGCTATATTAGAGCTTGTTAAAAAAATTATTTTCATCATTTCAATTAATGGATAAAAAATTTGGGTGTTGTCATTTTTAATAATGGGGCTGCATTATATAATATGATGCTATTGAAATAAGAAAGAGAAAATCTATAAAGGCATAATTATAGCCAAATGTGCAGTTATTTTGGTCTCTTAGTTTGGAGAGGGCCCTTAGGAAATTTTTCTTAAAAAGAGTTTGTAATGATTCATAATTTCATCAGATCTACAAAATACACTTCAAATACTTTCAAGAAAGAAGCTTTGATGTAATAACAGAGAAAAATATGCGTAATTTTGGCAAGTGTGAAATTGTCAGCCACAGAGCATGTGTTGTTTTGTTTTGTGTTTCACTGGACCGGCAGAGTCCAGTTTCCTTTTTGAGTTGTACATAGGCTCATACTATGACTGTTTATGCTGCTAACATAATATGATGAGTGAGGCTTTGGGATTGATGGTTAAAAATGACTCAAAGGCTGGGTGTGGTGGCCATGTCTGTAAATCCTAGCGTTTTGGGAGGCTGAGGCAGGAGGATCATTTGAGGCCAGAAGTGTCAGACCAGCCAGGGCAACATAGCAAGACCCTGTCTCTACAAAAAATAAAAAACAATTAGCTGGGCGCAGTAGGACTTGCCTGTAGTCCCAGCTACTGGGGGCTGAGGTGCGAGGATCACTTGAGTCCAGGAGTTTGAGGCTGCAGTGAGCTATGATTGCTCTGCTTTGCTCCAGCCTGGGTGGCAGAGCAAGACCCTGTCTCTTGAAAACTCAAGAGCTGGTCCTGCTGTAGACCACACTAGGATTCTTTTCACTGAGACTCCTCTTGTGGGCTTGAAGACCAGGACTGTGTCAGCACCAGTGTTGTTTCCCTTGGCCCAGTATATGGAGGGATTTATATTTATTAAGTATGAAAACTATGCGCCAAGTACTTGCTAGAAACTCTATATATGTTATTTTAGTTAAGGCTTTTTACAACTTCAAGATTAAGGAATTAGTCTACATATTTCAGCCACCGAGTAGTAACTTGCCCAGGGACAAAGTAAGGGTAAGTCTGAAACTTGGCTTCCCATCCAGGTCTGATGATGGAGCTCATGCCTTTTACACTCCACTGTGATGTCCTGTGCTCCTTAGAGAAGGGAACATAGTAGCTTGGAGAACATTTCTTGTCCTATCTTGCTTAAGGTGTCAGGATCTCCTTCTGTATGCATGGTCCAGATCATTTAAAAAAAAAAATCCTTCCGCCATCTAGCCACTTATCCATTTATGCATGCATCTAGTAAATATTTATTGAGGACTTATTCTGTGCCAGGTGCTGTTCTAGATCCCATCAATATGCTGGTTACCAAGCCTTCTCTGCCCTCTTGAAGTTTATACCCAATTATCTAAAGACTTTTTATATAGTGAGTGTGGGGAAGAGGGGAGTGTCTGGGTTGTGAAATCAGTTCACTTGGGTTTCTCAGCCCAGTGCCAGACTTCTAGCAGACCCTCAAAATGTGTTAGTTTCTTTTGCCTCACTTATTTTTACCTAATTTTTATGCTCCTGGCCAACTATTGTCCCCTGTTTGTTCATTTACCCTTGTACTTTGACTTGTTGACTTGGGTTTGTGTGTTTTTTCTCAGTTCAAGATCAGTCCGTTAATCTTTAGAAACGAGCATGTCCTGCAAAGCAGTTTGGTCCAAGTGGTCAGTTATCTGAGGTTGAATATTAAGAAGGTGTTATGGTAAAACTGATACAATTTTTTGGTAAAAACTTTTTTTTTGCTCTTAAGCATTAACCCTAATTACGTTGTGTATCTATAATTTTATGTTGTTTTGAGTAGCATTGTTAGTAGTTTATCATATGTTATATTATGCTACATGTGTCATTTAAAAAGGTTTACTATATTTAAAAATGCCATGTAATGAGTTAATGCTAAAACTCATTAACAAGAGCATTAAAATTAGATTCTATTATGAAATTCATTGAGCAAATGCTATTCATTATGGAGAATCTTGAGTTAGTTCCATTTGTGGAATGTTTCTTCTGTAGAATATCTTATATTTTTTGACAAATTTAAATTATTTACTGACGTTTTTTAAGGTAAACTAAATGGACAAATTTCAAAATGCCCATTTGGAGCTGAGTCTCTTTCTAGGACCGGCCTCTGTGTGGCTAATGGATGATTCTGACTGTTGAAGATAACTATTAATAACTTCAAAGGTCAGTTGAATGTAATATTGATAGAAATACTGTTTCTGAGAATAGTGTATTTATTTTATGATGGTGCAGTTTCTTTCTTTGGACAACAGTATAGCCATCTTCTCCAGTCCTTCAAGCCAAGGATTTTAGTTGACTTTGGTCCCATTTTTCCTCCATCATGACATTTAATTGTTTTCCGTGTGTTGTCAGTTTTATCTCTTAAGTCTCCCTTACATTCATTTCTTTCTTTATTCCCACTACCCCAGTTCAGATCCCAGTCATGTCTCACCTAAAAAATTGCAGCAATCTTATTAACTAGTATTTCTTTATATATATATAATAGTATCTTATTACTAGTATTTCTTTATTCAGTATTTTTCCTCTTTCAGGCTGTCTTTCACAATACTATTGAAATTTTTTGGGGGGTGGGTGGGGAATAATGTGTGTGTGTGTGCACACATACAGGCACATATGGTTTTGATTGTGACAATTTCTAATAAACCTTTTGGTAGCTGCTCACTGCCTGCAGGCTAAGTTAAGCTCCTGAGCAGGTCATTTAAAAACTTCATGGAATCCTTCCAGCCTTCCAGTGCCAATGCCTCAGTCTCTCTCCTTGCCCTTCTAGTTGCTTCCATCAAATGAACTATTTTCTCTGCAGTTTGGTTGTTAGTGGAGTAGTGCTTTGTTAGTATTATTTGCCAAGTATTCAGACTTTCTTTTGTTCAGGCAGCCTTTTAATCATAAAAGCCACTATTTCATCTTGTTTGTACATCTTATGTAAGTACACAGGCATTTTTAGCATCTTAGGTGGCAGAGTTTGTGTTCTACTTTTAATTGACCTTTATAAGATGTGACAAATTCCCACACAGAGTTTCTTTTTTTCTTGAAAGGTTGATGGCCTAACTGGAATTAAATAACCAAAAAAAAAAATTTTTTTTTTTTTTTTTTTTTTTTGAGACGGAGTCTCGCTCTTTTGCTCAGGCCGGACTGCAGTGGCGCTATCTCTGCTCACTGCAACCTCCGCCTCCTGGGTTCACGCCATTCTCCTGCCTCAGCCTCCCGAATGGCTGGGACTACAGGCGCCTGCCACTGCACCCGGCTAATTTTTTGTATTTTTAGTAGAGACGGGGTTTCACCGTGTTAGCATAAATAACCAAAATTTAATTGCATTTCTTTAGATTAATTTTCAAAGGTTATTATGTTCCAGGTATTACTTGAAAGTTCTGAACTATTTTTGTGCATAAAATTATGTTTTCACTACAATCATGGCAATATTTTTTGTCAACAGCGGTTCACCTAGTGAATGTTGATACTTTGGGTTTGAGTGAAAATGAATTGTAGCATTTTCTTTTGCATTAATAAATACCGTACTCACTTAAACTACCTGATAGAACTACAAGTCCTCCAAGTTTCATTCAGATTAATGTATTCCCTGTATTTAAAAGTAGATAGTTACACATGAGCAGTGACTCCGAGTGACACGCCTTGTGTGGCTGACACTCTTGGGATGCTGAGATTTGATGATCATCTTTGTAATCTCGGAATGACTGATAGCACACAAGTTCATGGATGCCAGAAATGATGTAGAAGTAGGCACCTGAGTTCCCTGGCTTTCTGAAGGGTGAGGCCAAAGCTAGATGACAGACACCAGATAGATAGTAAGGACAAAGTAGAACTTTGTGGTCTTTTGCTGTCCTTGAAGTGGTACCTATTTACACTTTGTGTCCTTGCTGCTTTTACATATCTTTCTCTGTGAATTAGGTTGTGAACTTTTCAAAAGGAAGTTCAAGATCATCATGATCTTTGGAGCTCCACAGCTTTTTGCTCAGAACCTTATACCCAATAGATGTTTCATAAGTGTTTGAATTAAAGTAAATACATATTCTTAAATAAAGTAATAATTGCACTTTAATTAAAATCTAACCTGTTTGGCTGGTGAGGGTGGAGATAGATCTCAGCTTTCATTGAGGAGTGGCAACTAAGTTTAGCACTTATTTTTGAGAATAAGGAAACACACAGCTGAAATGATGTCATTTAGGACTGACCACTATGATGCTCATAACATGTTCCTTGATGCATATTCAAGTCCTGTTTCAGCTGTGAACTTCTGCTTTTCAAGTTTTTGTTTTGTCACTAACCAAATGTTTCTTAAATTCTAGTGAAGGGAAGAGGGAGGCAGTTGATGATGTTTGTATTATCCACCCCATCCGTTTCCTGTAAATGAGAGCAGTTTCCACGTAGTGTCTTTTGCCTATGTAGTCAAAAGCACCATACAAATGTGGGCTCTGGTTCTTTCAGTGAGAAGAGAGTTAAGAATGCACTTTTGTTGCTGCTGTTGTTTTTGAAACAGGGTCTTGCTCTGTTGCCTAGGCTGGAGTGCAGTGGTACTATCGTAGCTCACTATAACCCCAAACCCCTGGGCTTAAGCAATCCTGACATCTTAACCTTCTGAGTAGCTTGGACCACAGGTGCACACCACCATACCTGGCTAGGTTTTAGAATTTTATTTTGTAGAGATAGGGCCTTGCTATGTTGCCTAGGCTGTTCTTGAATCCCTGGCCTCAAACCATCCTCTCTTCTCTGCTCCCAAAGTGCTGGGATTACAGGTGCAGGTATAAACCACCACACCTTTTATTATTATTATTATTTATTTTATTTTTTTTTGAGATGCTTGCCCTGTCACCCAGGCTGGAGTGCAGTGGCGCAGTCTCGACTCACTGCAACCCCACCTCTCGGGTTCAAGCGATTCTCCTGCCTCAGCCTCCCGAGTAGCTGGTATTACAGGTGTATACCATGACACCTGGCTGATTTTTGTATTTTTAGTAGAGACGGGGTTTTGCCATGTTGGCTAGCCTAATCTCTAACTCCTGACCCCAAGTGATCCACCCGCCTCGGCCTCACAAAATGTATTTTTTGTATTTTTTTTTTAGAGTTGGGATTTCACCATGTTGCCCAGGCTGGTCTCAAACTCCTGGGCTCAGTCTGCCTGCCTGCCTTCACCTCCCAAAGTGCTGGGATTACAGGCATCAGCTGAGGTACCAGACCCAGCCCAAGAACTCACATTTTAAAGGTCTGAGCTTGCCATTAATATATCTTCTTGTCATCTTAATACCAAAAGTGACTTTTCTGGTGTGAAAAGTAGGTGGCATACTTTGTAAGGTGCCTTGAGAACCTGTGCTTTTCTCTGGGGGATTAGGACTATCTGTTCTGGAATTGTGCCATTTCAAGAAGTAAACCTACTTATTTTCATTTTAAAAATGGATTGAAGGCATCCACATAAACCATCTCGGGACTTAAGGCTATTTTGGCATCATTACATAAAGCATTTTTTATTTTTTTATCCTATCATATGGCACTTTTTATGAATTCATGCTTTGCAAAGGAGCAAATTGAATCTTAGGGAATGTTTGGTATTCACGTCAGCAGTGGCTGCCTTGGGTGGTCAAGCGGCACAGATAAGGCTGGAGGGATGTTGAGATTGTATGTATGTATGTGTTATTGATTCAAATATACTAGGAGGAATGAGTGTTGTGTTAACCTGTATAATATATACATATATACATATATATGTTAATATGTATATATGTTAATATATACATATTAAACATTACTGTTTTTAATTTTAAAATATTTCAAACAAACTGGAAAGGATAAGGAATAATATAATGCCTTCCAGCTTCATCTGATCTTAATGTTTTGTCGTATTTGCTTCAGGTCTTAAAACATTTTGGAAAAAGTTGAAGCTCTCCTTTTCTACCCTCCTGATTCTGTGCTTCTGTTGGAGTGCATATCACTTGATGGCTTCTAAGACAAATGCTAAATTCTTGTCAGATTACGCAGTGAGTAGTAGAGTGGTGGTTTCCTTTAGGGAAATGAAATTTATGTACCTCCCATTTTCAGGTTGCACTTACTGCAGCAGCCTCCACAACGAAGGAGCAGTGCTTCCAAAGAGGTTTAGTGAGCATGATATGGGGTCATTGAGCAAAATGAGAAGAGTATGTATTTTGAAAAGTAAATTTGATTGCTTATGGGTATTCATCTTCTGATTTGTTGTTTAGCTTAAGCAACATTTCAGAGCCACTAAGTAGTTTGTTCAGATTACTGTTAATCTGCTCAAATGCCCGAAGAGTCACTAAAACTGATGTTTTTCCAAGATGATTTTGTGCTGTAGTTTCCAAGGGTGTTCTTCTCAAGTTACACTGACTTGGCTAGTTTTAGTACTTTTCCTTGAACATTGCCTCCAAGTTAATGGGATTCTGAATACCTCTTTTTTACTTTCTTTATTCTTTTTTGGATAAATATAAAATAAAAAGGCTGCTTTTTTTTTTTTTAGTGTTACTTAAAAGCTGTCTGATTTAATTGTATGACGTATTTTTCTTTGTTGTTCGTCTGTTTGTTCAACTCTGCAGTTATATTAAACTTTATCATGTTTTACAATCAGAATTTAGTTTTGATAGGTTCCAGAAAACAGAAAGAAACATACCTGTCCTGAAATGTAGCTTTTTTGTGTGTACTCTAAAACATTTTTCTTTATATTACTTTCCTCAGTTAATGTTCCCATTTAACCCAATATTTTTTAGCAAAAGTTATATTTAGTTAAGGCAGATAGGCATAACTAAAAATATAAAATGTTAAATGAATGCTAAGAAAAAAATTAACTTTTGGTAAGTTATATATCATAATTAAGGAAAAACCAGAAAAACAGAAATAAAAAAATTTACCAGTAATCTTATCACTCATAAATATAAGATTTTTTATTTGTGTGTTTTTCCAGTTTTTTTCTGAAAAAATATAAAATATGCATTTTAACAGTTTGTTGTTAGTAACATGCATTTTTATGTAGCATTGTCAACAGTAAACTAATAATTTATAAATTATGCCTAAATTACAATTATTGTAAATAATATAAGGTGGAGGCTGCATAATACAATGGTAGAAACTTAGGCTTTGTATCAAGCGACTTAGGGTGGGATCCCTGCATGTCCCGTTATTAAGTTAGCTGTATGACGTTGGCCAAGTTACTTAACTGTTAGGAGTCTTTTCTCAAATAAAAAAAAAATATGGCTAATAATTACCTTGCAAGAGTATTATAGGAATTAGATGAAATAATGAGTCTCATTCATTCATATAGTGCTGGGAACACACTGAAAATTAACTTATTATTGAGAGGCAATATATTGATGGCATTGTATAAAAAAGGCAAGGATTTGGAATAGGATTGTCTTGGGTTTAGATAACAGTGCCACCACTTCTTAATTTATCTTGGGTAAATTTTTTTTTTTTTTTTGAGACAAGGTTTCTCTCTGTCTCCCAGGCTGGAGTGCAGTGGTGCAACCTCAGCTCTCTGTAACCTCCGCCTCCCGGGTTCAAGTGATTCTCTTGCCTCAGCCTCCTGAGTAGGTGGGATTACAGGTGTGAACCATCACACCTGACCAATTTTTGTATTTTTAGTAGAGATAGGGTTTCACCATATTGGCCAGGCTGGTCTTGAATTCTTGGCCTTATGTGATCTGCCCGCCTTGGCCTCTCAAAGTGCTGGGATTACAGGCATGAGTCACTGTTCCTGGCCTTGGGTAAGATTTAAAACTTCACTGATTATTATACTCCTTCCTAAAATAGAGATAATGCCCATGTCCTAGGATTGTTGTATTGGTTATGTGATGTAAAGAATATGTGCCTGGCATATTGGAGACACTATCATTATTATTTATAAGGGAAATTACTTAATTGGAAGACAATTAGATATTTGGTATTTAAAATTAATATCAAGGAGGAAGTTTCTAGATGTCCTAGATTTTATTTTTACTATTATAATAGTATTTGTGGTTATTGAGGACTGTGTGAACAGTTTTATAACTGCCGCTGTCCCCCTCTCCCTCCACATTTGGAATAGGTAGCCATCTTTAAAATAACATGTAAAGATGCACGTTTTTGAGAGACCTTCACATGAATAATGAAAAGCTTCTGAATATAATTATATATATTGAAATATGTGCCCCTATTAATGCCACTTATATGTTCATTGTAGATCATCTGTCTCCATTCTTCTTAAACTGGGTATCTTTCATAGCAGTGCCAAACAGACTTTTCATGTACTTCTCTGCCTCAATATTTTCTTTTTGAGTTTAAGTTTTAGAAGTACCAATTCATATTCCTTCTTTTTGCTAGCACAGTGTACCTATTAGTTATTTA
Source organism: Homo sapiens (assembly GCF_000001405.40). Classification (NCBI taxonomy): domain Eukaryota; kingdom Metazoa; phylum Chordata; class Mammalia; order Primates; family Hominidae; genus Homo; species Homo sapiens. The sequence goes on from NC_000014.9 coordinate 71,403,272, forward strand.
CATATATGTATAATGAGTTTGAAAAATGTTACATAAAAAGAATCTTGGCCTGGCGCGGTGGCTCACGCCTGTAATCCCAGCACTTTGGGAGGCCAAGGCAGGTGGATCATGAGGTCGGGAGTTTAAGACCAACCTGGCTAAGATGTTGAAACCCCGTCTCTACTAAAAATACAAAAAAATTAGCTGGGCGTGGTGGCAGGCACCTGTAATCCCAGCTACTCAGGAGGCTGAGGCAGGAGAATCGCTTGAACCCAGGTGGCAGAGGTTGCAGTAAGCCAAGATTGCACCACTGCACTGCAGCCTAGGTGACAGGCTGAGACTCTGTCTCAAAAAAAAAAAAAAAAAAAAAAAAATCTTAATCATATTGTTTTCACATTCTACTTTTTTAAAATGGCTATCCTTTTTATCAATTTATACTTCAGTGTTAGATCATAGAAGCAGTACCCTTCAAAATTAAATTCTGAGTAATTTTATTGTGAGGTTATAGTAAATGAGCTTGTGGATGGGTGAGCTCAAGCCAGCTGTGCAGCTTGTCTGAGTTGATGGTCTGGTTTGTAGTCTGGTTGCCAGTCCCAGTCTTCTGCTAACACTTCAGTATGATCACTGTATTTCCTCCTGTAGGCCACCTGGTGCCTTGCCTCTGAAACTACTATTTTATATCTATTGTAGGATGAAGCTTACTTTCCCTTGACTGCACACACACACACATACCCACCCACCCACCCACCCACATCACAGTGAAGAGACTGTTTTGGTTTCAGTTAAAGTCAGTAAATTAATACTTAAAATTTATAGTTTCATGACTTTTGCCAGAAAGCTAAAAATTCTGTTTTGAAGGTTGGCACTCAGGGGTGTAACTATAGTCAACTTTTTGTAAATTTGCATTGGATTGGCTTGCTTAAAAATAACTTTGGTAACCAAAAAGCATTCTTTTAGTATTTTAGGATCAAGATCAGGTAAAGGCAACTCACTTTTATCTGAAAATTTTAAAAGCATGTCTAGGCCAGGTGCCGTGGCTCCTACCTGTAATCCCAGCACTTTGTGGGCAGATCATCTGAGGTCAGGAGCTCGAGACCAACCTGGCCAACATGGTGAAACCCTGTCTCTACTAAAAATACAAAAATTAGCTGGACTTGATGGCAGGCGCCTGTAATCCCAGCTACTCAGGAGGCTGAGGTAGGAGAATCGCTTGAACCCAGGAGGTGGAGGTTGCAGTGAGAAGAGATTGCACCACCGCACTGCACTCCAGCCTGGGCTACAGAGCCCAAGGTTCTAGGGGGAAGAACCATTTTTCCCCTTCAAGTTTATTAAAGGACAAGGTGTTTTCTGATTTCACTTAAGTTATACATTTTTATTGTAAGTTTCAGTACTAGGACCAGCCTAACAGTAGGCATGTATTAACTATTAATTTGTTACAGGCCTTGAATTACATTTAGCATTGCAAGGCCGTCCATTTAAATTCTGTTATTTGATCCTAACAATAATTTTGTGAGTTAGGTAGGAAAGAATTTCATTTTACAAAGAACTTAGTAGAATTCCTTGGGCACCATTAAATGATGATTCTGGGGTTTGAATTTAGGACGTCTAGCTCCAATTCCATACTTCTTGTGCAGTGTCATGCTGCTTTCCCATACCGATCTGCAAATGTTTTGGTTCTTGGTATTGTAATAGTTCATTCATTCAACAGAGTTTTTAATGAATGTACAATTTTAAGCTCTAGGCATTTAAGGATGAATAAAAAGACAAGGTTTCCACCTTGAGGAAGACTCAGTAAATAACAAGTATCAAAAGTAATTATTGTGCCTATGGTAACAATGATTGGTACATAGTAGGTGCTCAGTAAATGCTTATTGCACAAATGAATGAGTGAGCAAAGTGGTAAAAAGGTAATAACAAGTGAGGATAGCTGCTTAAGTAGATAGATTGACCAGGAAAGGTCCTTCTGAGGAAGTGACACCTAAGCTAGGCAAAGAGCATTTTTCACAAAAGGACCAGTGCAGGCTGAGGACCTGAGGCAGGAAAGAACTTGGCTCATTGGAAGGCATCAAAGATGGCCAGTGGAGCTAAAGTGAGTATGCTGGGGAGACAGAGGTTCCAGATGAAATTGAAGAGAAATAACTAATCATGTAGGTCCTTATAGACCATAGCAAGAAACTTGGCTCCTACTCTAATGTTGGGGGACAGTTCTCCACTTGTCTCTTGTGTTTGTACATTGACTGTCTTTCTTCTGGATGATCTTTTCAAGGATGATTTGTATAGTGAATGGCCTTGGAAGAGAAAGAGAATGCCCCTTCTGGGGTAAAGGCCAGGCAAGCTTACTGCCCATTACAAAATATTTCAGTTCACTAAGCTCGGAGTTACTCTACTGTGACACAACCTGCTGTTGTGCTGAGGTCATCTTGTTCTCTTTGTGTCACCTGGTGGGAATTGAGGCTTAAGGGACTAGCACCAAAAAATACTGATACTTTGGCTACTGCTACTGCTGTAATGATGTCTTTTATCTCTGACCCTGGCATCTCATGTCTTCCACAGGCATCTATATAGCTGTGTGGCAGGCTAACTTGTTATCTCACATGTAGGGCAGAATTTTTACATTCTTCACATTTCTTGATATCTGAGGCCATGGGAACACGTTAGAGGCTTTTAAGCAGGGGAATAGTAAGATGTAGTTTACTAACCTTTTAACAAGTCAGTCTGACTACTCTGTGGAAAATGATCATGGGCAGAAAGAAGATTAATGAGGAATCTGGGGTAGCGTCTCGTCGAGAGATAACAATGGCTTCAACCAATGTGAAGACAGTGGAGATGGAGAGAAGTAAAGGAGTTAAGATGGTCTTTGGGAGGTAGAATTTATAGATCTTCACAGAATGGATGTGGGGTGTGAAAGAAGAATGTAAATGAATTGTAGGTTTTTGGCTTGAGCAACTGGGAAGATGAACTTCTGCTGAGATGGAGAAGCCTCAAAAATGAAGATAACTAACCTATAAAAATTTCTGATATGCTGTATATATTGCAAGGTTATAATGATTATATGGGTGCCACTGACATCTTGTCATCACTTCTTTGCCTTTTTTTTCAGCCATTTCATTTGCTTGTCTCTGTCTTTGCAGAAATTTTATGTTTAGAATTACAGGGACAGGAAGAATAAGAATAATTTTTATGACTTGGGGTCAAAGAACCATTGGGATGTGCTTTTCTGGGAAGAACACCTTTCTCGTGTCTTCATGGTTATCAAATCAATATTTAAGATAAGAAATACAATTCTTGTGGTCCCTTGATAAGAGGGTTGCCTCAATAACAGTAAATTAGATTACCTTGGGGGGATTTATTTTTTAATAAGCCATATTGATTTTTACCCAAAATTCATTATCTAGGAGTTTACAAAGAAATTCTTCAGTATGTTTCAGGATTTTCCCATTTTTGAAGTTGAAGTAATATATTTTTTCTTTTCTAGATTTTAAGTTTGTTTTAAAGCTGGGCTATTCTCCTTTAATTTTCAAGGATAATTGTTAGTTGTGTTGTGACCACTTAGGCTTAGTGCAGTAGGATGAACGAAACAAGTGCCTGTGGATGAATTTATTCAGCATTCTTCATTGAGATATTCTTTGGGATAACTTCTTATCTTTATAATGCCAGATGCTGATTTCATTAGCACCTGATCACTTTTCATAAAGAAAGTAACTAAAGTAGCTGGGCGCGGTGGCTCACACCTGTAATCCCAACACTTTGGGAAGCCCAGGCAGCCAGATCACCTGAGGTCAGGAGTTCAAGACCAGCCTGGCCAAAATGGAGAAACCCTGCCTCTACTAAAAATAAAAAAAATTGGCTGGGTGTGGTGGCGCATGCCTGTAATCCCAGCTACTCGGGTGGCTGAGGCAGTAGAATTGCTCAAATCTGGGAGGTGGAAGAAAGTAACTAAAAAGCTTTTAATAAAAAATACTCCTCACCTTGTACGATTGTGTGTTAAATGCTTTCCATTTTTATCTAGTGAGATTTATTTTTGATTTTGCTTCTCACCTGCTTATTGTATTTAGAGGATGAATTTACATGCCTTTGCTTTGATATACTGTAGACAGTTTTAGGCTGCAACACGAAGTTTGCATGAATTTTGAATTTTCTTTTCTTTTCTTTCTTTCTCTTTCCCTTCCTTCCTTCCTTCCTTCCTTCCCCTCCCTTTCTTCTCTCCCTCCCTCCCTTCCCTCCATTCCCTTCCCTCCCCTTCCTTCCTTCCCTCCCTTCCCTCCTTTCCCTCCCTCCCAGGGTCTCACTTTGTTGCCCAGTTGGGAGTGTAGCGGCATGATCAGGGCTGACTGAAGCCTGGAACACCTGGGCCCCAATGATCCTCCCATCTCAGCCTCCCAAGTAGCTGGGACTACAGGCGTGTGCCACCACACCTGCCTAATTTATGTTTTTTGTAGAGACAAGGTTTTGCCATGTTGTCCAGGCTGGTGAATTATTTTTATACCATTTTGTATGTCCTTTTATTTCTTTTATACTGTAGCATTTTCTTTGGTGTATGGCCTTGTTTCTAGACTTTTTCTTTTTAGAAAGGACAGGTTGACAGCAGGGGGAGATGGAGCTTAGCAGGATTTTTTGTTTTGTTTTGTTTTTTTGTAGGCGAAGCTAGGCTTAAAATTATCTTGGATTCAATTATATTCCACCAGTGATGGAAAGTCAACAATGGAAAGACTTGATTTCCTTTTAAATATAGTCTTAGAAAAGATGAACTAAGGTTACAAAATCATCAGTGCTGATCATGAGATTTTTCCAGGTGATGTGAGTTGTTATTAATGACTTTGATGGGTTCTGGAGATACCTCTACCAGAAATGCAGTTAGAATACAGTTATTTCTGATGTTTTGAGAAGACAATAATATTTTTTTTGCTTCTGTTATCTTTTTATGTAGTTCCATCTTTTTAGTTTTTAGAAATCAGTTTTAAAACATCCTCAGATAGTAGAGTGGTATTTAAGCTTCCCAAGTGTCTGGTCTTTGCTACAGAGAAGCATTGTTCTGCTTTCGTATTCCTTTATATGAATTCTTCAAAGAGACTCAAATTTTGTCACTAATTTCATGTTTCATGCTGTGGGCTAAGCAGTTTATAGTTTTACCATATTTAGGCTAGGTTTAGAATTTTACGAATGGTTTGCTGGTCTTCTGTCTCCTGTCCCCCAGTTTCAGAATAAAAGAAAACAAAAACAACGAGTAATAAGATTTTCCCAGGGCCTTTACTTAGTAACTGAATTGGGCCTGACTTGGTAGCCTGTGGAATGTGATGGGGACTCTCGCTCGAGGATTGTTCACATAGCTCTTGCAGTGCCAAGCAGAGCCCAGGTTTGTGCCTCCACCCCCTTTCCCCTTTCCTTGCTTTCAGGAAGATTTTTTTCCCCCCTGGTTTTGGAACTACACTTGCCTTTACTCAAAACTCTCTGGGAAATGGTTTAGAAGTACAGTAGGAATCTCTTCCTTAGAAGCCACCAGTTGGTTCAGAATCACAGCTGCAATTCTCCTGCCTGTCTTTTCTCTGTGTTGAGGAAGGGAGTGAGCAGGAAGAGACTGGAGTCAGACAGCTGTGGGCTTGCATCTGAGCACTTGCTTATTAGTTGTGTGACCACAGGCAGTGGGCTTAACCTTTTTAGCCCTCAAATCTCTGATGTAAAATCGGGATCCTCCTAAAGACCTCCTCATGGTTTGGTGAGGCTCAGATCTTGTATGTCGAGGAACTCGTGCTTAGCATTTGCAGGTTTTACTTTGAAGCTACTGTGTGTTCCCCCGTGATCCCCTCCTTCTCTTTCCCTCTGGAAATAACACTGTCCTGAACTTCAGGTTCAACATTCTGTTGCTTTTTAAAGTGAGTATATCTGTAAGTAATATATTCTTAGTTTTGCCCATTTGGGCTCTGTAAAAATGGTGTCTTCTTACATGTAGTCTATAAATAAGGGTGCCTCATCGGAACCAGGTGAGTGTAGAACTCTTGGCTCTCCACCTGGCCTTTGATGATGGGATGTGGGTGTGGGGTTGAAGATTTTTTTTCCGTGGTGTGGCTAGAGTAGAGTGGTTTTTGTCTAAAACTTTTTGTTTTGCCAGGCCACCCCCTTATGGGTCCTTTGGTTAGAGAGACTGGCTCTTTCTGATACAGGATCACAGGTAGGGAAGGCATTATATGACATGTGGTGTGAGGGATAAATCCAATAAATAAACATTGAAGTTAATGGGAGCCAGATTTACTACTCTTACAGGGAAGGGAAAGGTGAAAACTAGGTTTCACCTTTAGTAAAAGGACTGGGTCCTTTTGGAGAAAGGACCTTTTAGTAAAAGGATTGGGCTAATCAGAGAAAGTCAAATCTGGTCTGTAAAGTAGATGACTATATAACATCAGTGTTAATTTCTGGTTTTTGATGGTCATCATTGTAGTTTTGTAGGAGAATGCCCTTGTTTATAGAAATTACTCACTAAACTCTGGGAGTGATAGGCCATCACATTGGCTACTTAGTCTCAAATAGTTCAGGGAAAAAAGTGTTATCTGTAGTGTTCTTGCAACATTTTTGTAGGTTGGTCTGAAGTTATAAAGTAAAACAAAACAAAACTTTTCATAATTGACTTAGTAACAGAATTGTTAGCTTATCAAAGTCATTTATAAGGTTTACGGGGCTTGCTTTTTGGGCTGCCTTGTCTTGAAACTACCCGACCATGGTGGCCTTCCTGTGATTATACATCTTGATTTGTCTTTCGGTATGCTGTTTTTTAATATTTATAATCATCACATTAATACATTCTTGGCTCATTATTTATTTCCTTCATCTGTTTTGCCTTTGTGCCAAACTGCTTCTTTGAATGGAAAGTGTAGTTTACAAAAATATGGCAGCTCATTGTATTCAATGACAATACTGTATTTAATTTTAACTTACTTTGTGTATGCTATTCTTTTCTTCTCAATCCGCTGGTGAGCCATTAAAGCAATTTCTTATTTCATCACACTATGTCTACCTTAGTACTAAGCATATTTCAGTAGGCTTTTAGTTTACTTTTCAAAGTGCTGGGCTGTTGATTGCATGTCTTAGAATTTCAAATTTTCAGGAAGTATAAGCAGGGTGAGGGGCATTTGGTAGAGTGGTGGATGTGATGCTCTAGCTAATTCATAATCTAGTCAGCTCACATACATATTTGTGAATGGTTGGCCCCTAAACGTTTAGGGTTAAACATATGGGTTGAGTTTTCCTTATCCAAAATGCTTGGGACCGGAAGTGTTTAGGATTTTTTATTTTTTTGGATTTTGAAATATTTGTAGTATACTTACCAGTTCAGCATCCCTGATCGGAAAACCTGAAATCTGAAGTGCTCCAATGAGCATTTCCTTTGAGCACTAAAAGTCACGTTGGCATTAAAAACGTTTCAGATTTTGGAGTATTTCCGATTTCATGTTTTCAGATTAAGAATACTCAGCCTTGGATGAAGATGGTTCTAGTTCACAAAATTGTGTGAGTCAGGGTGGGGGGTAAGGTTAGCTATAGGGAGAAGGTTCATTGTCAGAATAGTGTTCTTTCTGTGAGAACATTACATGCAAATTGTCTCTTTGGCAGAATCTCCCCTTTTCCTTTGGTACAGAAAACCATAGGTTAAATACATAGAATTCCTTCCCCCCTCCCTCCATACCTGTCTTTCTTTGAGGCGACTTAGATCCATCATAGGGCTTGTTTTCCTTAAATAGGCTGGAGGTCAAACTTCTCTTTAGCAGTTATACTAATTTTCATATTTCTCAGAATGATCAGGGAAAAGAACTTTTGAAAACTCAGGGTGGTAGTTACATTGCACTTTGTATATGCCCACACATCAGACTTTTCTTTAGCATTTTGTTTTTTTTTTCTTGCTGCTTTTACAGTGTAGGTGGCCTTCTCCTGATTGCTTTTGACAGGAAATTGAGCAACCTTTCTTTTTTGGAACTGAATATATTTTGCTGCTAAGAGAGGGAAAAAATGTTTATGTTTTGAAACTTTATTATGAGTTTTTTATTTAAAGACTTACTTAAATCTAGAAAAAGGGGGTAGAGGTTAAATTTCATATCGTGCACTACAACTTCTGAACCTTCCTAGTAATTTCTGGGCTTTCCTTTCTTTGTAGCATTGCTTTGTTCTCTTAGCCATTGATAGATATTGAGAAGTTGTCCTTGAACCTGTCATTATTTTTCTAGCTCTTAACTGGGGCTGCCTTCCCCAGTTGTCTTCTCTCTGTAGTGGAGGTGTGGTAGTCTCTACACTGATTTCACGGGCACCTTGAATCTAGAACTTATGTTAGCCTCTTCTACTCCGTTTCAGCTTTGGATAAGCATAGCATTCAGCAAAGCTTCCCAAGGAGTTGGCTGGGCCAGAGGTTGCAATGAGTGGGAGCTCCCGACTGGAGTCCTGCCTCTGGCACAGGTTCTACCTGGACTGCCAAACCTTCTGGTGCTTTGGGGTACGAGCACCGGTCTTTGCCCCACTACCCACAGCCCCTGGCCCGCTTGCTGCTTCGAGTTACTGTAGTTCAGCCTGATTTGGGTAGTTCCTGTGTACACTGAGGATTCAGAAGACAAAGTCAGACTTTAATTAGAATAAGCCCATTTGCCACATATGGAAATCTTGTTCAGTTAGAATGGAGTAATTCTGATGGAATCTTTCTAAGTGTGTTCATAAATCCTGTCCTTTTGCTTGAGTTTAAAATTTGCATGTTTATTCATGTTCCTAAGTGGATTACTACTGCAGATCAGCTGCCAGCCATGTCTTATTTATATAATTAGTTGTAGCTCATTAGTTAAAGATTAACAAAACGAAGTACATATTTTGAGTGTTATAGATTTCTTCACCTATTCTATGGGTGCAAGCTGCAGGCCAGTTGTGTAAAAACAGCAAGTTTTGTTATCTTAGATATCTGACTCTCAGAATATCTTTTAGAGCAAGCTTGTCCATCCTGCAGCCCACGAGCCACATGTGGCACAGGATGGCTTTGAATGCAGCCCAACACAAACTTGTAAACTTCCTTAAAACATTATGAGACTTTATTGCAATTTTTTTAAAGCTCATCAGCTATCGTTAGTGTATTTTATGTGTGGCTTAAGACAATTCTTCTTCCACTGTGGCCCAGGGAAGCCAAAAGATTGGACATTCCTTCTTTAGAGGTTTATTTTACCCACGGTTTTCTTCTGATATTTGTACGATTTGGTTATGGTAGTGTAGGAAAGGCCTGTTGCGGGGTCTTACCGAGCTCTGTTCTACCGTATTACATGAGATCATAGTGTGAGGGCATGATAGGCCCTTGGTAAGTCTTGTTTGAAGTGCTTTTTTATTTAGCTGAATAAAAGGTGGGAGGCCTAATGTCCGGGGTGATAGGCTGGGAAGAGGAACTTCCCCTTTTGTCTTCAGTAGGAATTGGGAATATCTGTGAGTGAAACTACTAAGTTCTGATGATTTTTATTCTTCTTAGCTTCCATTTTATGTGATTGGGAACAGAGTTTGGCAATTACATAGTTTGAAATAGTGTTTAAAATTATTTATTGGAAGCTCTTATGGACGTGTCTGACTTATTTAATACATTTTAGAAATTGGTACATGTGCTGTAGATGATTACTATTGGGCATGTGTGTGGGTATTCTTTTAACCAATAAGCTTAGCATTCATAGGAAATACAACCATGGTGGGAGCTTAGTAGGTGATCTGAAATGAGCAGTGTGAGAATTGTGGAATTTCCAAATATGCAGTGTTTGGTTTCTTCGGAACAGGGTTTCTAAACCTCACCAGTATTTTCGCTTTAGGCAGGATAATTCTTTGTTGGAGGGGACTGTCCTGTGCATTGTAAGATGTTTAGTGGCTTCCCTGGTTTTTGTGTATTACATGCCAATAGTGTGCCCACCCCCCACTTCACTTGTGATGACCAAAAATGTTACCAGATGTTGCAAGATGTCACCTGTGGGTACAAAATTGCTCCCTGTAGAGAACTAGTATTTTGGAATAGTGATTCCCATAGGCATGTGATGGACCAACTCATCAAAATCACTTTGTTGTTGTTGTTGTTTTTTCTTCTATACATACAGCTTCCAGGGTGAGATCTTTGAGTAGCAGTCTGTGGACAGACTGAATGAATAGCCAAGCAAGAATTTGTTGTTTAAGTGGGAATGGCTGTTGGTTGGCTTAAATTTAAATATGTGTTGAGGCGGGGCATAGTGCAGTGGCTCACGCCTGTAATCCCAGCATTTTGGGAGGCTGAGGCGGGTGGATCACCTGAGGTGAGGAGTTCAAGATTAGCCTGGCCAACATGGTGAAACCCCGTCTCTGCTAAAAACACAAAAATTAGCCGGTGTGGTGGTGCACACCTGTAATCCCAGCTACTCAGGAGGCTGAGGCAGGAGAATTGCTTGAACCCAGGAGGCGGAGGTTGCAGTGAGCTGAGATCTTGCCACTGTACTCCAGCCTGGGCGACAAGAGCAAAACACCGTCTAAAAAACAAAAGCCCAATAAATGTGTATTGAGCTGCACATAAAGAGATTACCAATTAAAGAAGGTTTTAGAGACAAAGTATAAAATTTCATAATTGTGATTTGATTAGTAGTGGTGATTTTTTTCCCCTTTTACTTACTATGAGTTATAGTTGTGTGTTTTTCAAAATTTGGAAATAACTACTAATAAAGTTCATAATTATTTTAATCTAGGTTTTGAGAGATTACCTGAAGTTGCACTCAAAAGCAAGATATACTACTAACTTTGAAATGGAATAAGGTGAGTTGGTGGATTAGTTCCAAAGTCACATTGCAGGGAGGAAATGTCACTCAAACTGTCATTCTTAGAAGACCTGCTATTTGGCCAGGCGCTGTGGCTCACGCCTGTAATCCCAGCACTTCGGGAGGCTGAGGTGGATGGATCACCTGAGGTCAGGAGTTTGAGAACATTCTGACCAACATGGTGAAACCCTGTCTCTACTAAAAATACAAAAATTAGCTGGGTGTGGTGGCACACACCTGTAATCTCAGCTACTTGGGAGGCTGAGGCAGGAGAATTGCTAGAACCCAGGAGGTGGAGGTTGCAGTGAGCCGAGATTGTGCCATTGCACTCCAGCCTGGGGGACAGGGCGAGACTCCATCTCAGGGAAAAAAAACAAAAACAAAAACAAAAACAAAAAACCCTGCTCTTTATAGCAGAATTTTGATTTATCAAATGTCCGATATTTTCTGCCCACTGGCTTTTCCCTTTTTGAAGTGGAAAAGGAAAATATGGGAAATGCTTGTGCAGTTTTAGTCATTGATTTCTGAATTCATTGTTGTCATCTTTGCAGATGAAATAGTTTGGATAATTTTCTGGCTACTTAAGAAGGTTTTCTGTTACATGTTTATGTTTTCCCTCCATAGTGAATGCATTTAAAATCTTCTCTATGTTTCTTGAAATTAGGTGAGAGCTTATACTTCAACCCATGTTCTAAGAATCTTGTTAACTCTAATGCATTGGTGTATAGTTTGGGGTGCCAGGCTTTTCCTGAATAATTGAGAAATGATCAGATGATCTACCCTTTGACTGACGTATACTGGTATATGCATTACTATTGCTCTTCGAGTGACTGTACTGGCTTACTCATTTCTTAAACATTTTAAACAATTACAAAAGGATATTCTTTTATTGAGAAAAACAACAGCTTAATGCAGATTAAGGGAGACGTATTTTATACAGGCCAAAAATACTGTCATATGTTAAATTCTGGGGTTGTATAGGTTTCATTATACTTAACCTTGATCTCAGCCAGATGCTGAAACAAAGACCTTGGAGTTTTTCTCATTTGTTGCTTTGTCAGAAGAAAATTTCCTAAGGAGTCAGCTCTTCTGGAGTGACTGCATCCTATAACGGATGGTCAAGTTATCTGACCATCTCCCCTCCATAAACCTTTGTGCAGAGCTTAGGGGATGGGTAATTGGAGCACTGCTTTTAAAGTGGCTTGCTATTTGTGACCTTCCTTGAATTTCAGTAAGGGAAATTTGGGAATCATTATCTCTGAAAATGTTTTTAAAGTACATTAGGGCACTTTTCTGGGTTACATTTATTTGACCGTTCCCAGCATCATTCTTCTTTAATAGAGGTGGAATCTAAGATTTTTAGATATCTGTAATTTTTAGCCATTTGAAAAATCCAGGCTTATAATAGCAACACAACTGAAAAACTGTCTTTGAAAACATAACATCTTTGGAACTGCCAAGAATTGCTTAATGGTGAAGCAAGCAGCCTGCAGGAATGCTCTGTGAATGTAGCTCTGCTCTGGTACTTCGAGAGGGAAGAAAAGTCAGTACATATTATTGAGTGCCCTGTGATTTTTACCTCAATCTTGGAAGCTGTTTTTCTAGATATACTTTTTTTTTCCCTCCAGAATAGCTATATGTTATTGAAATGTGCACCTTCAGTGCAGTTCTCAAATGTCTTAATTATTTTTTTTTTTTTGAGATGGGATCTCACTCTGTCTCCCAGACTGGAGTGCAATGGCATGATCTCGGCTCACTGCAACCTCTAACTCCCAGGTTCAAGCGATTCTCCCGCCTCAGCCTCCCAAGTAGCTGGGATTACAGGCGTGTGCCTCCACACCCAGCTAATTTTTGTATTTTTAGTAGAGATGAGGTTTCGCCATGTTGGCTAGGCTTGTCTTGAGCTCTTGACCTCAGATGATCGGCCTGCCTCGGCTTCCCAAAGTGTTAGAATTACAGGCGTGAGCCACCATGCCCGGATGTATTAATGGTATTTTAATAATAACTCTTGGTTGATAAACTTAAACATGACAGTTTTGAGCAGGCACCTTAAGTTCTGTATACTACCGTGAGGCCAGGCACTTGTTTAGCTTCTGTGTCATACAGCTACCCCTTGTATTTTGTTCTTTTTTTTTTTAGTATAATAAATCTATAGTTTTATTAACACAGAAACTGATAGTGTGGTATGAGGTTTACGTTTAAACAAAGTTTTCACAGAAATCTAACACATGCCTAAAAAGATTTTACAATCTAGCTCTAGATGCAAGTCCAGACAATATCAAGAACTGATGGATCTCATGACTCAAGACAGAGCATTTTGGGTTTCAGTTACTTGTTAGGATTTCTTAAAAATGGTTTTTGTTTTTTTTTTATGGGTTTTAATACACCTTGTCTTTTGAATTGAGTTGCTTCGTTTGATAACTTGAACCTCTGGGCACTGAAATATCTTCTTTTAATAGAAGTGATATCTGGTAATGCTGGTACAGTATCTCTAATAGGTCAGGTGGGAGATTCTTCTGTTATACATCCATTCTTACTCAGGTCTCCTCAGGCAACACAGGAGGAGGCCATGACTCAACAGTTCTCCCAACCTGTTGGTGACATGACTCTTCGCCTTCTAAGTGTATACTTCCTTCCTAAGTGCTATTTCTCTACTTAAGGGATATCTAAAACAATTTCTATACTCTAAAAGAAAGAAAAATCTACACACACACACACACACACACACACACACACGCATGCACACACACACAACCTTGTATATATATAGTTTTATGTGTACCTTATTAAATCCATCATTCTTTTTTAAATTATTTTTTGAGCAGCATTATTCTAGAATATAAATACTGAATTGAATAAGCATACTTTTTTCTTTTCCTTTAAACACACTTTTAAAATACAGTTTTTAAAATTAAATAGAAACATGGTCTCACTGTGTTGCCCAGGCTGGTCTGGAACTCCTGACCTCAAGTGATCCTTCTCCGTTGGCCTCCTGAAGTGCTTGGAATAAAGGCATGAACCACCGTGCCTGGCCTGCATGTAACTTTCGACTCCTCCAGAACTTAACTACTAGTAGCCTACAGTTGACCAGAAGCCTTACCAATAACATGAACAGTTGAATAACATGCATTTTGTATGTTATATGTATTATATACTGTGTTGTTACAATAACATAAGCTAGAGAGAAGAAAATGTTATTAAGAAAATCCTATTGGGAGGCCGAGGCGGGTGGATCACGAGGTCAGGAGATCGAGACCATCCTGGCTAACACGGTGAAACCCCGTCTCTACTAAAAATACAAAAAATTAGCCGGGCGAGGTGGCGGGTGCCTGTAGTCCCAGCTACTCGGGAGGCTGAGGCAGGAGAATGGCGTGAACCCCAGGGGGCGGAGCCTGCAGTGAGCCGAGATTGCGCCACTGCACTCCAGCCTGGGCGACAGCGAGACTCCGTCTCAAAAAAAAAAAAAAAAAAAAAAAAAAAAAAAAAAGAAAATCCTAAAGAAGAGAAAATATATTTGCTATTCATTAATGGAAGTGGATCATAAAGGTCTTTATCCTCATTGTCTTTGCATTGGGTAAGCTGATGAGGAGGAGGGAAAGAAGAGATTGGTCTTGCTGTCTCCAGTGGCAGAGGTGGAGGAGGAGGAAGGGGAGGCAGGAGAGGCAGGCACACTTGGTGTAACTGTTATTGAAAAAATCCACTTTTAAGTGGACATGCACAGTTCAAACTCGTATTGTTGAAGGGTCAACAGTGCTAGACAGTTTTATTTTCTAAATGCTAACTATAATACAGTATAAAAATACTAAAAATGTATAGTAGCTAGGGGATGATTAGAGAATCTTCCTTTCATCTTTGGCTGTGACTAGTTTGAATTGAGTTTGACATGGCCTGAGGTCACTTCAGAATTATTTTGTTACACGTTTTTATTATCCAAAGCCCATTTCTTTGTTCTTAAAGAAGAAAATGATAGGAAATCCTTTAGCCTAACAAACATTTTTATCAGCCAGTAGAATGGTGATCTGACTCTTTCGTATTTACTAATGCTGTTGTACCCTTTTTCTCTTCAGTAGGAACAACTTATTCTCACTCAGCTTTTATTTTTATGTTCTCCAGAACATAAGAGAGCAGCTGCCCATGCCAAATAGTTACCTCTTTTAAACTCATTCTACTGGAGCAAATGGTAAGAGGTATTTGAATTAAGTTGTCTTTGGAGGGGTGTGCCTTATTTCTTAATACCTGATTATTTTTTTGGGCCCAGATCTGCATGGGTATGATTGTCTATAGTAGTATATTGTAATTTTATAATGGTACCATGTTGCCCACTTTCTTGACTGTCTCATATATTTAAAATTTGCTAATAGTGGATTTGAACAAAAGTCTAAAGGAAGGAATCAGAAAATAAAGAAGAGAGAACATGAACTATGTGGATGTAGTTGGAGGTCAGGGTAGGAATTGTGCAGAGCTCAGCCCCACCCCCTACTGTCCCTATTTGACTTAAAAAGTTGGGTGACATGAGCATTTTTGAAGACCTGGCTTCTGAGACAGCAGGTCACACGGCAGAACTGGAGAAGAAGCTTGGGAGAAGCTTGCATTTGCCAGTTGATCATGAATTGCTAATGTTTCTCGAAGGGCTTAGGAAACAGTGATGGGGATTTTATTTTAAAACCTGGACTTCATTTTAATGTTTGTCAATCCCTCAGCATATTTTATATATAAGAGGAAGTTGTAAATGTCTTCACTAGTATTTAAGTGCCTTTCCCCAAAACCATGTATGGAAAATTAAGGCCATATGGTGGGTAAAGTCTTAAATGTGGGGAAGTTCAGCATGCCACGTTCTGGAGCTTTTGGTGCTCCTGCGGGGAGGGCTTTATTGTATCTTTTTGGAAAAGATTTTTAATAAGCAGGAGAATGTAGCGTTGAATGTCCTTGGCTTGAAGGCCATTACTACTCACATCTGCACAAAATGGGCCAAGGTCTTCAGTGAGTAGATGATAAGGGAAACACAGTGGTATGGGTGGGCAGCCCTTCCGCCTGATATCAGCCTCTCAGAGCAGGGGTGTTTCCTGAACCGTTGCTGTCTCAGCACATGACTAGCCTTGAGTTCTGCCTGTAATAGTTTCCTTAATTAAAACGGTCTGATTGGCACTCTGGATGAGCGTTCAGTAGGTTAAATAGTGAATGGTTGCTGTAGAGCTAACGGACTTTGTTTTCTTTCAGGGTTTTTTTTTTTTTTAAGTCTATAGCTTAATTCAGTAACTGACCCTTGTCTGCTACCGACCAGTGTTTTTTTCCAGTCAACTGAAAAGTAAATGTTTTGAGAAATTGACTAGGTAACATTTGATAAATATCTGTCTTTGTGTAGGGACTTTCAGGGCTGTTCTGGCCTGAAATGAAAGCTTTTGGGCCAGGGGTGATGGCCCACACCTGTAATCCTGTAATTTGAAAGGCTCAAGGAGGATCTCTCTTTTTTTTTTTTTTTTTTTTTTTTTTTTGAGACGGAGTCTCGCTCTGTCGCCCAGGCCGGACTGCGGACTGCAGTGGCGCAATCTCGGCTCACTGCAAGCTCCGCTTCCCGGGTTCACGCCATTCTCCTGCCTCAGCCTCCCGAGTAGCTGGGACTACAGGTGCCCGCCACCACGCCCGGCTAATTTTTTGTATTTTTAGTAGAGACGGGGTTTCACCTTGTTAGCCAGGATGGTCTTGATCTCCTGACCTCATGATCCACCTGCCTCGGCCTCCCAAAGTGCTGGGATTACAGATGTGAGCCACCGCGCCCGGCCAAGGAGGATCTCTTGAGGCAAAGAGTTCAAAACTAACCTGGGCAACATAGTGAGACCCCATCTCTTAAAAAAAAATTAGCTGGACATGGTGGCATGCACCTGTAGTCCCAGCTACTTGGAAGGCTGAGGTGGGAGGATTGCTTGAGCTTGGGAAGTTGAGGGTGCAATGGGCCATGATCACACCACTGCACTCCAGCCTGGGTGACAAAGCAAGACCCTGTCTCAAAAAAACAAAACAAAAACCTTAAAGCTTTTGTAGTTATAAGGTAGATATTCTGTGTTTGTTGACATCGTTTCTTCCCTGGATTTATTAGTGGAAAAGTTAATTAAGCAAATAATTATTTTATATCTATTATGTAGAGAACATTTTGCTTAGTATTAGCCAGGATAGAAATATGAAAAAGAAATGCCTCCTCGTAATCAAGTTATTTTTCTAGAGGAGAATTAGACATAGTTGGAAATGGTCATAATAAATGACCAAACATAATAAGGCCTTTAGTAGAAATATAGGTAAATGCATTGAGGCATTTATAGAGGGAGGATTGAATCCATGAAGGTGGCATTATTCGAACAGGGCATTGAAAGGCCATCTGACTGTCTGTCTGCCTATCTACCCATCTATCTGTCTACTAAAGGAGTAACATTTGGTTTTTTAGGTAACCAAAGCAACTCATCTTTGTTGTGTAAAATCTTGGATGTTCTTAATGGCACACAGATCAAAGTAAAAATCACCTAATTCCCACCAGATCACTCAGTCTTCACTAACATCCAGAAGTAACTATCTCTGCTATCACTTTTACTTATTATCTATGGAATTTTCCAAACATGCATAGAAGTAGAGAGAAAAGTGCAGTGAGCCCCCATATACTTATCATCTAGCTTCCACAGTCATGGACAGGGACATTTTGCCATTCTGTCTGTCTTTCTCCTGCTTTTGTGTTTTTTTTTGTTGGAGTTTCAGATATTATACTATTTAACTTATAAATACTTCAGTCATTTTTTGTTAACAGAGAAGCACTTAAAAAAATAGCAGCAATGTCATCACCATTAACAAACTTACTATGTACTCTAGCTAGTCGTGTAAGCCCTAGTCCATGTTTTCTCTATTGTTTCAAAATTGTCAGTTTACCGTTGGTTTGTGGGAATCAGGATCCAAGCAGCCTTCACACATCGCACGTGTCTCTTTTAAGTCTTTCTTAATCTGTAGCATTTTCTCTTCTCTCCCTTTTTTCATGTAATTTGTTGTGGAAGAAATGGGGTCATTTGTCCTGTGTCACTTTAATAGTTTTCTTTCAGTTTTGTTCTTCTTTGTGATCAAAGATATGTTTTAAAAGCAAAATTAAGATCATATTGCGCATACTGTTTTATGAGCTACTTTTTATACTTAACGATTGAATGAGGACATTTTTCTATTATTTACTCTTCTTCAATTAGTTTTTATTTTCTGTTAAATCTTATGGAATAATAGTAACTAAAATGAGAAAGATGTAGTTGATTATATTTAAAGTAAATCTGGCCAGGCATGGTGGCTCACGCCTGTAACCCCAGTGCTTTGGGAGGCTGAGGCAGGAGGATTGCTTGAGGCCAGGGGTTTGAGACCAGCCTGGGCAACATAGTGAGACCCCCATCTCTACAAAAACGAGAAAAAAAAAGGTAGGCAGGTATGGTGGTGTTTGCTTGTAGTCCCAGCTTCTTGGGAGCCTAAGGTGGGAGGATGGCTTGAGCCCAGGAGTTGAAGGCAGTGAGCTATAATCACTCTACTGTACTCCATCCTGGGTGACAGAGTGAGACCTTATTCTTAAAAAAATTATAAAATAAAATAATAAAATAGGTAAAGCTTACATTAATGATATATATTATAACAACAGATTGGTTATTTCTTTCCTCCTTGACTCCCTCCCTCCCTTTCTTCCTTTCTTTTTTATTCCAGTAGCTGTTATGGTTGGATATAATATTGGAGATGCAATTACCTGGATTGAAAGTCCATTTGGTTTTTCCTGGGGAATGTAGAAGATGGTTGTGTAAAAGACAGCCTGCCTGATGGTTCCTTGACAGGGCTGAAAGTAGAGGGAGGTAAATGGTGCTCACCCAGGCCGTGATTTTCTGGAGATTTACCGCAAGAAGGGGACTCATAATTATTGTTGCTGAACTTTATTAAAATGTTAAGCTTACATTCTCATATAAACTAGGCCACTGTAATCCCAGCACAGTGGGAAAGGATTCTTAGTCGTTAAAATGGAGTATGACGTTTTTACTTAGTGATGCTAACATTTTTAACAGTTGTATATGAGGACGTCTTTCAGTTATTGCCAAACTTTTAGCCTGGGAAAGAGATATGTGTGTTGGCTCATACCTATAATAATTATACCAGCTGAAGCTTCATGTGGCCATTTAAGTAGACAGAGTCAGCTTCATTTATGATGTTATAATTATCCCTATGGTAGTTTGTATTCTTCCATTTGATTAGACCTTTTGTAGTTATTTTAACTTTTATTTGTTGTTGCTTTTTCCTTTTTTAAAAATATGAAACAATACATATAACATCTTAACCATTTTCACCGTACAGTTCGTTGGTATTAAATACATTAATAATGTTGTCCAGCTGTCACCACCATCCATCTTCATAACTCTTTTCATTTCAGTAAAACTGAAATTCTGTACTCATTAAACAGTAACTCCCCATTCCTACCACTGCCCAGGCCCTGATGTCCATCATTCTGCTTTCTGTCTCAATGATTTAGGCTACTTGAAGCACTTCATATAAGTGAAATCATCATACATTATTTGTCTTTTTGGTGACTGGCTTATTTCACTTACCATAATGTCTGAAGATTCATCTGTGTTGTAGCATGTGTAAGAATTTCCTTCTTTATAAAGCGGAATAATATTCTGTTGTATGTGTATACCACATTTTGCTTATCCATTCATCCATCGATGGACACTTGGGTGGCTTCCGCCTTTTAGCTATTGTGAAGAATGTTGCTGTGAAAATGAGTGTACAAATATCTCTTTGAGACTCTGCTTTGAATTTTGTTGGTAAATACCCAGAAGTAGAATCATTGGATCATCTGGTAGTTCTATTAAAAAATTTTGATGAACTGCCATAATCTTTTCTTCACAGTGGCTGTACCATTTTACATTCCTACCAACAGTGCACAAAGATTCCAGTTTCTTCACATCCTTGCCAATACGTATTTTCTGGTTTTTTGATAGTTGCCATTGTAATGGGTATGAGGTGGCACCTCGTAATTTTGATTTGTATTTCTCTAATGCTTAGTGATGTCGAACATTTTTTTATGTGCTTATTGGCCATTTTAATATCTTTTTTGGAGAAATGTTTATCCAAGATCTTTGCCCATTTTTGAATCAAGTTGTTTGTTTTGTTGTTGAGTTACAGTTCTTTATATAGCTGTGATGTTAATCCCTTGTCAGATATATGAATATGATTTGAAAATATTTTCTCCCATTCTGTGTGTTGCCTTTTTTAGTCTGTTGATAGTGTCTTTTGATGCACAAAATTTTAAAATTTTCATGAAGTCCAATTTATCTGTTTTTTAATTTTGTTATATATGCCTTTAATGTCATATCTAAGAAAACATTGCCAAAGCCAGTGCTGTATAGCTTCTACCTTATGTTTTCCTGTGAGAGCTTTATAGTTTTAGGTCTTACATTTAAGTTTTTCATTCATTTGAGTTAATTTTTGTAAGTAGTATTCACCTAACTGTATTCTTTTGCATATGCAGTTTTCCCAGCACCATTTGTTGAAAGGACTGTCCTTTCCCCATTGAATGGTCTTGGCGCTCTTGTCAAAAATCATTTCACCATGTATGCAAAAGCTTATTCTGGGCTCTGTATTCTATTCCATTGGTGTCTGAGTCTGTCTTTATGCCAGTACCATATTGTTTTGATTACCATAGCGTTGTAGTAAGTTTTGAAATCAGAAAGTATGAGTCTTCCTGCTTTGTTCCTTTTCAGGATCATTGTGGCTATTTGGGTCCCCTAACATTTCATGTAAATTTTAGAATTGTTTTTCTTATTTATGCAAACATATCATTGGGATTTTGATAGGGATTGTATTACATCTGTATGTTGTTTTGGGTAATATTGCTATCTTAATATCAAACCTTTCAGTCCTTGAACATGGAAAGTGCTTCTATTTATTTCTTTTAACTTCTTTCAGCAGTGTTTTGTAGTTTTCATTGTACAAGTCTTTCACTTCCTTGTTTAATTCCTAGGTATTTTATTCTTTTGATGCGTTTTTGTAATGTCCTTTTAAGATTGTCCATTGATAAGTATATAGAAATGCAACTGATTTTTGTATGTAGACTTTGTCTCCTGCTATGTTGCTGAATTCATTTATTAGTTCTAACAGTTTTTTGTGGAACCTTTTGGGTTTTCCACATGTAAGATTATATCACCTGTGGACAGAAGTAATTTTACTTCTTTTCCAGTTAGAATGCCTTTTATTTCTCTTTCTTGCCTAAATGCTCTGGTGGAACTTCCTGTACTAGGTTGAATAGAAGTGATGAAAGCATGCATTCTTGCCTTGTTCGTGATGTTAGAGGAAAAGCTTTTATTTTAGACTTTCATTATAGACATGATGTTTGCAACTGGTTTTTCATATGTTGCTTTTATTTTATTGAGGTAGTTTCTTTCTATTCCTAGTTTATTGAATGTTTTTATCATGAAAGGGTGTTGAATTTTAACAGATGCTTTTTCTGCATCAATTCAGATGGTCATATGGGATATTTCATCTCTTCATTCTGTTAATGTGGTGTATGATCTTTGTATGTTGAGCCATCCTTGTATTCCAGGAATAGATCCCACTTGGTCATGGTGTATAATCCTTTTACTATGCTGCTGAATTCAGTTTGCCAATATTTTGTTGAGGATTTTTGCATCGGTATTCATTAGAGATAATGGTCTCCAATTTTCTTGTAGTATCTTCATCTGGTTTTGGTCTTAGGGTAATACTGGCATCAGATAATGAGTTAAGAAGTGTTCCCTCCTCTTCAATTATATGGAAATTTGAGAGGGATTGGTGTTAGTTCCTTATTTGTTTGGTAAAATTTACCAGTGAAGCCATTAGGTTCAGAACTTTTCTTTTTTGAGAGATTTTTTTTATTACTGATTTAATCTCTGTACTAGTTATATCTCTTAGGTTTTCTGTTTCTTCATAATTTAATGTTGGTAACATTTTGTATTTCTAGGAATCCATTTTTTCTAGGTTATCCAGTTTTTTTGCATACAGTTCTTCATAGTGCACTCTTATAAGCCTTTTTATTTCTGTAGAATCAGTAGTAATGTCCCCACTTTCATTTTTGATTTTAGTAATTTGAATCTTCCCTTTTTGTGTGTGTGAGTACATCTCAGTAAATATTTGTCAATTTTGTTGATATTTCCAAAGAACCAACTTCTGTTTCCTTAATTTTCTCTGTTGTTTTTCTTTTGTTTAGTTTATCTCTACTCCTTCTTTCTGTGAGCTTTGGGTTTAGTTTGTTCTTAAAGTTAGGTTTTTGACTTGAGATTTTGTCTTTTAATGTAAACATTTATAGCTGTGAATTTTCCTCTCAGCACTGCCTTTGCTGTGTCCCATAAGTTTTGGCATTTGTGTTTTCATTTTTGTTCAAGTCTTAAGTATTTTCTAATTTCCCCTGTGATTTCTCCTTTGATCTATTGGTTAAGAATATGTTGTTCAGTATCCTACAATTTTGTGTTTTGTGGAAATAGTTTTACTTCTTATTAATTTCTAACTTCATCGTGTTGTGATTGCAGAAGACATTTTATGTGGCATCTTTGAAAATCTGTTGAGACTTAATTTGTGGCTTAGTATATGGCTTGTCCTGGAAAATATCCCATATGCTTTTAAGAAGAATGTGTATACTGTTCTTGGAGTGTTCTGTATATACCTGTTAGTTCAGTTGGTTTCTTGTGTTTTTTGAGTCCTCTGTTTCCTTGTATCCAGTCCAGTTGTTCCATCCATTATTGAGAATGGGGTATTGATGTCTCCAACTATTATTGTAGAATGGTCTATTTCTCTCTTTGGTTTTATTTTAGATTTATTTTAGATATTTTGATAGTTAGGTGAATAAATTTTTATAATGGTTATATCTTGCTATATTGTATTTTTTGTTACTATATAATGTCCTTTTTTTGTTTAATGTAAGCGTTTTTGACCTAAAATCTATTTTGTTAGGTATTAGTATAACCATCCTTGCTTTCTTTTGGTGACTATTTGCACGAAATAATCGTTTTATTACTGCACTTAGAATCTGTTTGTGTCTTTGGATCTAAAGTGAGCCTCTTGTAGATAGCATATAGTTGGATCATGTTTTTTAATTTTTTAATCTTTAAACACATGTCCTTTGTCTATCAGAGGTTGTTTTTATCTGTTCTACCATTCTCTGTCTTTTTTGATTAGAGAGTTTAATCCATTTACATTTAAAGTAATGACTGATAAGGAGGCACTTTTGTCATGTTGCTATTTGTTTTCTACATGCCTTGTAGCTTTTTGGTTCCTTATTTCTAGCATTAACTGTTGACTTTTGTATTTGTTTGTTTGTTTGTTTTTAGTGAAACCTTTAAAATTTTTTTTTTCTTGTTTGTATTCTGTAGGTATTTTCTTTGTGGTTACCATAGGAATTACATTTAACATTCTAAAGTCATAATACCCTAATTTGAATTTCTTTCTTTTTTTTTTTTTTTTCCCAAAGACAGAGTCTCACTCTGTTGCATAGGCTGGAGTGCAAGTGGTATGATCTTGGCTTACTGCAACCTCTGCCTCCCAGGTTCAAGCGATTCTCCTGCCTCAGCCTCCTGAGTAGCTGGGATTACATGCGTGCACCACCATGCCCAGCTAATTTTTTTGTATTTTTAGTATAGACGGGGTTTCACCATGTTGGCCAAGCTGGTCTCAAACTCTTGACCTCAAATGATCTGCCTGCCCTGGCCTCCCAAAGTGCTGGGATTACAGTTGTAAACCACTGCACCCAGCCTGAATTTATACCAGCTTAACTACATAAACTCTCTTCCTCTAATAGTTCAGGCACCACCTTTTTCACTGTTGATGTCACAGAATTACATCTTTATACCTTGTGTGCTCAAAAACATAAAGTAATAATGAACTAATAAGAGATTAGTGCATTCATTTCTTAAACCATGTAGAAAACAAAATGTGGCATTGTAACTAATAGCACTACCTTTTAGACTAAATTTTTAGAGAAAGTTTAGTCTCTTAAATCACAGAGCAAACAAAAAATGCAGTTACAGACTGTTTTTACAATGATACTTTTATAATTGCTCCTGCATTTTCTTTTATTGAAGTCTTTATTTCTTTATGTGGCTGCAAGTTACTTTTTAGTGTCCTTTTATTTTTACCCTGCAGGGACTTCTTTTATCATTTCTTGCAAGACGGGTCTAATGGTAGTCAACTTTCTCAGCTTTTTTTTTTGTCTGAGAATGTCTTCATTTCGCACCCACTTTTGAAGGACAGTTTTGACAGAATAACATTCTGGTTGATAGGTTTGTTTGTTTGTTTTTTGCACTTTGAATATATCTTCCTACTGCCTTTTGGCCTCCAAAGTTTCTGATGAGAAAACTGCTAATAATCTTAGGAGGATCCTTTGTATGTGATGAGTTGCTTTTCTCCTGCTGCTTTCAAGATTCTATCTTTGTCTTTAGAAAGATATTATAATGTGTATCAATGGGGGTCTCTTTGAGTTTTCTTGTCTCCTTTTGGAACTCTCACAATGTATGTGTTGCTTAGCTTGATGGTGTCCCATAGGTCCCCTGGCTCTGCTCACTTTTCTACAGTCTTCTTCCTGTTTCTCAGACTTGATCATTTTCATTGTCCTCTCTTCAGGTTCACTGATTCTTTCTTCTGCATCCTCAAATCTGCCTTTGATTCCCTCAGTGGATTTTTCATTTCTATTGTGCATTTCAACTTCAAAAATTTTTTTCTGGATTTTGCATCTCTTTATGAATATTTTCATTTTGCTTATGAATTTTTTTTTAAGTTTCTCTACATCTTCCTTTAGTTCTTTGTTTATCTTTAACATGGTTGTTTTTGTCTAGTAAATCTGCCAACAAGTATTTTTCAGGGTCAGTTTTTAATTTATTTTTTCCTTTGAATGGGCAGTATTTTCCTGTTTGTGTTTCTTGTGATTTTGTTGTTGTTGTTGAAAACTGGACACTTTATTTTTTTATTTTTATTTTTTTTGAGATGGAGTCTCATTTTTTTGAGATGGAGTGCGGTGGTGTGATCTTGACTCACTGCAGCCTCCACCTCCCAGATTCAAGCGATTCTCCTGCCTCAGCCTCCCAAGCAGCTGGGACTATAGGTGTGTGCCACTGTGCCTGCTAATTTTTGTATTTTTAGTAGTGATGGGGTTTTGTTTGCCATGTTGGCCAGGCTGGTCTCGAACTCCTGACCTCAGGTGATTCCCCCCACCTCAGCCTCCCAAAATGCTGGGATTACAGGCATGAGCAACCATGCCTGGCTGAAAACTGGACATTTTAATCTCATAATGTGCCAACTCTGGAAATCAGATTCTCCCCCTTCCTTATGATTTGCGGTTTTTTTTTTCTTTTTTACTGGTTTTATTTTTATTTTTATTTTTATTGTAGGCTGTCTGTGTGCTGATGATCAATCTGATGTGTAAATTTAAGGTCTTTTCAGATATTTTCTGAGTCTGCACCTTTCCCTGACCATGCATGGTCACGTTCTAATTTTCCCCATATATGTGGTTGCTTTTGAATGGCCTAGTCTTTAATGTCTGGCCCTTAAAAGGGGTAAAGAGAAAATTGAATGGGGGTTGGGGAGAAGGGCTCTGGCCTGTTAAATGCCCTGAAGTCCCTTTGGTCAAAAAGGAGGGGCTTCCTGCAAGAGGGGAGGTTCAACAACAGTGGCCTCTTTGCACTTTTGTGATCAGAAGCAGCAGTCAGCCATTAGAGCACAGATCCCTGATATTTAGAGGGCAGGGTCCTTTTTGCCCATCCTGGCTCTTGCCAGCTGTGTGCAAACTACTCTAGGAAATGTGTGCCCAGCTACCTGCCCCAGGACTTGGGGTAGATGATGGGTAGCTGCAACTACGGTAAGAGCCAAAATTAAATGAAAATAACCTCAATGAACTGTTCAGGCTTTCTGCTAGAAGTTGCAAGTTTTCCATAGATTCCACAGCTCCAAAATAATTATTTTGGATAGATTCTGCCAGTGCATCTATTGTCTGGGCGGGAAGACAGATTCCTGATACTTGCTACTCTGTGATCATCCCAGAACCTGCTCCTCAATTTCATTTTAATTTAGTAATAGTTGCTGAGATATTATTTTTATTTCACCGTATTATTTAATCCCAAGTCACTTGATAACATTTTGTTTTTGTGGGACATTTTTTCAAGATTAATTTTTTAATAGAAGTAATAAATTAGTCCATTTATAAGGTTTGAGTGCCTGTTTCCTCCCCACTTCCCTCGTCCTGGTTCTCTGGCTTGCTCTCCACTGGTAAACAGTTTGTTGATTTGGTACTTTTATTTTTATTTATAATATAAAAGCATTGTATTTTTGTATTTTAGAAACTTCACATAATTGCCATTGTATTTAATATCTGTAATTTTTTTTTTTTATTCAACAACTGGCTTTGGATAGGTATTCATGTTGGTTCATATAATCCCAGTTCATCCTTTTTAACTGCTGCCTAGTCATGGGGATTGATTTTTTTTTTCTTCATTTTTCCCATTGCTGAACTTCTAGATTGTTTCTGATAGTTCCTGATTATAAACAAGGCTGCAGGCAACATCCTTGTCCTTGGCTCTGTGTATATGGGCATGTTTCTCTATGCAGTTGTCAGGTCATGGGATATTGTAATAGACACTCTCGAATTGCTTTATCTAAGTGGCTTCCATCAGCAGAGGATAGGTTCTTTAGTCCTATATGTTTATATGTGGAGAAATGGTACAGGATAGGAACTGTGTTTGAAGACCTGATGTATATTTACAAATAGGTAGATCTCATTAGCTTATAATATTTGGCTTTGAAGTTGAAGGCTAGTTTTATTCATTGCACTGTATTTTGCTATCAGATGTGAATTTATTTAGAAATAA